>NC_000020.11:369365-520880 GCF_000001405.40 Homo sapiens
GAAAAAAAATGGCTGGGCATGGTGGCTCACCCTGTAATCTTAGCACTTTGGGAGGCTGAGGCGGGTGAATCACCTGAGGTCAGGAGTTCGAGACCAGCCTGGCCAACATGATGAAACCCCATCTCTACTAAAAATACAAAAATTAGCCGGGCAAGGTGATGCACGCCTGTAGTCCCAGCTACTCAGGAGGCTAAGGAAGAAGAATCACTGGAACCCAGGAGGTGGAGGTTGCAGTGAGCCAAGATCGCGCCACTGCACTCCAGCCTGCATGACAGGAGCGAGACTCCATCTCAAAAAAAAAAAAAAAAAAAAAAAGGTAAGTGAGATCACTTCCCTCCTCTCCTTAAACCCTCCCCTGCCTCCCCATGACTCCTCAGCGTCCTTTCAAAGGCCTCCAAAGCTCCAGATTATCTGAACCCCCTTTACCTCTCTGACCTCATCTCCCACCGCCTCCCTGTCACTGGCTGCACTCCAGCCACATTGACCTTCTCCGATGGCACACCAGTCAGCTAGTCAGCTTCCTTTTGGAGCTTTTGCATGAGCTGTTCCTCTTCCTGAAGAATTTGCCCTTCGGATAGTCTCAGGGCATCCACTGAACACTCCACTCAATACAGCCACTGCCTGCCCACCCAACACTCCTCATCTCTGTACTTACTCTTTTTTTCCCTTGCATTCGTCACCCCCTAACATGTGCTACAATGTACTTATTATGGTAATTATTTCTTGCATGTTTCTTTCTTTTTTTTTTTGAGACAGGGTCTCACTCTGTTGCCCAGTCTGGAGTGCAGCAGCATGATCTCAGCTCACTGAAATCTTGGCCTACCTGGCTCAGGCCATCCTCCCTCCTCTGCCTCCTGAGTAGCTGGGACTACAGGCACTCACCACCATGCCTGGCTAGTTGTTGTACTTTTTTGTAGAGATGAGGTTTCACCATGTTGCCTAAGCTAGTCTAAAACTCCTAGGCTCAAGTGATCCTCCCGCCTCAGCCTCCCGAAGTACTGGGATTGCGGGTGTGAGCCGCTGTGCCTGGCTGCACTTTTCCTTCTAATGGAATGTAAGCGCCACTTTTGTCTGTTATTTTCACTGTAGTATCCCTAGCCTTTGGAATGTTGCCTGGCAAGTAGTAGGTACTCAGTAAATATTTGTTGAAGAAACGGATGATTCTATAAATAGCATGGATTGATATGGGAAAGCTATGTAGGTGGATGGATGGATGCTTGTCGGATGGAGGGTAGATGAAAGAACAGCGAGAAATTCGAATGGCTAGATGGTGGGGATGCATTATAAAATAATAATTCATAGATGGAAAAGGAATGAATAGATGGGTGGAGGGATTTAATCTCTTCAACTACTATTTACTGACCACTTGCCGTGTGCCAGGCACTGTATGAGGTGCTAGAGACACTGGTGAGCCACACAGGCAAGGTGCCTGTCCTAAGGGAGCCTGTAGTTCAGTGGGTGAGGCAGACACTAAACAAATAACAAATACATACATAATTCCAATTATAGTTAAGTGTTCTGGTGGAAAAGAACAGGATGCTCTGGGAGAGAATAATATGGATAAGTGATGGAAAAATGGACAATAAATGGGTAGATGGAGATGGATAGGATCGGGGTTATTTGCCTTAAAGGGCCTGGCTTCAGGACTGGAGCTGCTTTACCTTAAAGGGCCTGTCGGACCACATGTACCATCCCACATCCCAGACCAGCTCTGCACTCAGAGACTGTCCCTCTCTCCCTGCCCTGACTCAGCACCTGCCTGGCCTATCCCCAGTGGTCCTGCCTGACTCTACCTCCAGCTCCCACCCTGCTGAGTCACAGTCAGGCTGGTCAGGGGGCTGTCCCATGTTCAGTCCAGCCCCTCAGCCTTCCTCGACCTGGGGGGGTATGGGGAGCAGCCCAGAGGGGAGGGGAGCAGGTGCCAAGCTCTTGATTCCTGTGCCTGAGCACTGCCCTGTTGAGACCAGAGAGAGAATCTATGGCTAGGGTATCTGGGGCTACAGTTGGGGTTTATCTGGGGCCTGGGGTCACACATGATGGATTAGAGCTAAATCTATCTCCAGGGTTATAACTCAATCAGGAGCTAGAATTCAAATTCAGTTTATGGATCATGTGGGGAAAAAGTGACCAAGACACCGTTCAGTTTGGGACCTGGGTCGGCGTTAGCTGTGGCTACGGCCCAGGGCTTAGTGATCACAGGTCAGACCATGTTCAAGGTTTCAGGCCAGAGTGCAGTTGAAGTGCAAAGTCAGGCAATAGGGTTCACCCTAGGACCACAGTCAAGGATCTGGGTCAGTTAGTGTCCAGGGCACTGGCCTTGTCTCCTCTTCTTTGGGAGAGAAGCCAGGTGGATGAGTTGGATCTAAATGTCCTGAGGAGCAACTTCCAGCTCAAGTTCCTTCACCCAGGCGGCCTAAGCCCTCTCAGCACTGGCCCCAAAGCCTTCCTTCATCCCTCAACTTCCTCCATCACTCCCTGACAGCCTGGCCTTGCTCAGTGTCCCTCGCAAGGCTGAACAGTCCTCATTCTGGCACCTCAGGGGACAGGGTAGGGGTGGGGACTATGGGACAGGGCTCAGTGCTGGACCCAGGAGGGCGCCTTGCGCAAGGTTTTCTGATGCAACTGGCTGAGTGCTTCAGCATTCCACCCCCACCCCCCAAGCTTTTCTCAGAAAGGCAAGGCCTGGGCAGTTATCCAGACTGAACATATAATCCCCTTCCTTCTCTGGCCTTTGATGGCTTCAGGACCTGCAGGCAAAAGGAAGGCAGGAAGGCAGGCAGGAAGGAAGGAAGGTCAGGTGACTCAGCAATGCGTCCAGCACTGGGAGCTGGCAGATCTGGGGCTCCCTCATCCTCCAGCTGAGAGGCGAGAAAGAGAATCAGGATCCCTGGAAGTTTGGAGATCCTAACCCCTTATACATACAAAGCAGCAATTATGTGCCTAAGCCCAGGGAGAGACCTGTAGCTGCCCAAGGTCAGAGGCAAGGTCAGAACCAGACCAGCTGTCTTCAGCCCATGGCTATGATCTAGCTATTTCCACTACACAGAAAGAGAGAACCCTTCACCCTTGAGGAGGACACGGGACTTCCCCAGGAACCTCCCGTCAATCCTGTTGAGGCTCCTGAAATGGTGGAATGACGTGGACTTTGGAACCACGCAGACCTGGGTTTAAATCCCAGGCCAGGCACGGTGGCTCATGACTGTAATCCCAACACTTTGGGAGGCTGAGGCAGGCAGATCACTTGTGGTCAGGAGTTTGAGACCAGCCTGGCCAACATGGTAAAACCCCATCTCTACTAAAAATACAAAAACTAGCCAGGCGTGGTGGCACACGCCTGTAATCCCAGCTACTCAGGAGGCAGAAGCGTGAGAATCGCTTGAACCCGGGAGGCGGAGGTTGCAGTGGGCTGAGATCATGCCACCGCACTCCTAGGTGAGAGTGAGACTCCGTCTCAAAAAGCCACACTGGCTAGCTGTGTAACGCTGGGCAGGTTACTTTCACTCTTTGACACTGGATTTGCTCACTTGCAAAGTGGGCGTAAATGCATCCTTAGCTCACAGGGCTGTGGTGAGGCTGACATGAGGAAGCACTGGAAGGCACAGCTTAGGCTCCACATGGGCCACTCTCAGGAAGTGTGTCCCCACCTCCCCCTTTATCCTCAGCTCTCACTGGGTGTGTTTGCTGGGGAAGGAGGTGCAGCAGCCCTGGGGCCTTGGAAATAATAATAGCCACTCACCCTCCAGTGCTTACCATGTGCTGGGAACTCTCCTAAGCGTGAACTTAACCTGTATTAGCCCATTTAACCCTCCATTTAATCCAATAACAGTTCCCAGGCCAGGCATGGTGGTGCATGCCCATAGTCCCAGCTACTCAGGAAGCTGAGGCGGGAGTATCGCTTGAGCCTGGGAGGTTGAGGCTACAGTGAGTCATGATCACCCTACTGCACTGCAGCCTGGGCAACAGAGTGAGATCTTCTCTCAAAAGAAAAGAAAAGAAAAGAGGGAAGGAAGGAAGGAAGGGAGGGAGGGAAATCCCAATGACAATAAGCAGTTCAATAACCCTACAGGAAAACACTGTCATCAATCCCACTTTATAGATAGGGCTGTGGGTCTGAGTAGCTAAGTGACTTTGTCCAAGACAGTGGACAAGAGACCACACGGATTTTGAGCCAGGCCAGCTGGCTCTGAATCCCACTGTCTCCTCCCTCCTTAAACTAGTGATGTCACTGCTCTGAGCCCTGGTTTCCTCATCTGTCTCCAGGGATAAAAATAGCAGCTTCATGGGGAAGTTTGAGGATGACACAAGATGACGTAAGGGAGGTCCCCACACAGGGCTCCACCCACAGGCATGAGAAGAGCCTTTCTCAGGAAGAATCCCAGGCCGCCCCTGGGGCAACCGCCGGGCTGGCCTTCCTGCCTCTCCTTAGGCCCAGCCTAGCGTGATCTGGATGGTGAGAGATTTCTGCAAAGCCCCCAGGGGCCTCCAGAGAAGGGAGGTGCCCGGTCTCCTAGATAAGGGCTCCCAGAGAGGATCACAGCCCTGGAGTTGCCATTCTTGAATCACCCACTGTCTTCCCCAAGTTGATTGGTCTGAATCCATGTACTTATTTTTTATATTAGTTCCATAATGTCTTCCTTCCAACCAGCTCATCTTTTACTTATTTATTTATTTATTTATTTTATTTATTTTTTTATACAGAGTCTTGCTCTGTCACCCAGGCTGAAGTGCAGTGGTATGATCTCGGCTCACGGCAATCTCTGCCTCCTGGGTTCAAGCGACTCTCATGCCTCAGCCTCCCAAGTAGCTGGGACTACAGGTGCATGCCACCACGTCCAGCTAATTTTTGTATTTTTAGCGGAGATAGGTTTTTGCCATGTTGGCCAGGCTGGTCTCAAACTCCTGACCTCAGGTGATCCACTCACCTCTGCCTCCCAAAGTGCTGGGATTACAAGCATGGACCACTGTGCTTGACCACAACCACCTCATTTTAAAAAACTTATCTAAATTTATTTAACATGGAAATTTTAAATCACTGACCTCAAATAGAAAACTACTATGATTTGCCATAAAGAAGAGGTAAGCATACAATTACATACAAAAAAAGCAGAACCAGGTTATTCCATTCCAGCTAAATCCTGTTTCTTGCTGAAGGCTCCAAGCTGAACTCTGCTGTCTCATTCTTAACAAGAGAGGTGTTAAAAACATAGAAGCTGTGAGGCCGGGCACGGTGGCTCATGCCTGTAATCCCAGCACTTTGGGAGGCCGAGCGAGTGGATCACGAGGTCAGGAGATCGAGACCATCCTGGCTAGCACGGTGAAACCCCGTCTCTACTAAAAACAATAACAACAACAACAACAATCAGCCGGGCGTGGTGGCGGGCGCCTGTAGTCCCAGCTGCTTGGGAGGCTGAGGCAGGAGAATCGCTTGAACCCGGGAGGCAGAGATTGCAGTGAGCTGAGATCATACCACTGCATTTCAGCCTGGGTGACAGAGCAAGAGCAAGACTCCGTCTCAAAAACAAACAAAACAACAACAACAAAAAAAAAAACCATACAAGCTGTTGGCCGGGCGCGGTGGCTCACACCTGTAATCCCAGCACTCTGGGAGGCCAAGGTGGGTGGATCACGTGGTCAGGAGATCAAGACCATCCTGGCCAACATGGTGAAACCCTGTCTCTAGCAAAAATACAAAAATTAGCTGGGTGTGGTGGCACACGCCCATATTCCCAGCTACTGGGGAGGCTGAGGCAGGAGGATGGCGTGAACCCGGGAGGCGGAGCTTGCAGTGAGCTGAGATCACGCCAGTGCACTCTAGCCTGGGTGACAGAGCGAGACTCCGTCTCAAAGAAAAAGAAAAAAAAAAAAAGAAGCTGTTAAATGAGACTTTCTCCCTGAGTCTTTGGAGAAACAGCAAGAAAACTGAAAGGGTTTAAGTGTATCACAATTATGATTCAAAGTTATGTCATACGGTATCTGGAGACCCTAAAACCCTCTGGCACTCAGCCATTGTTGTACATGGTATATTTCAGAAAACACTGACCTCACTGACCTACTCCAACTTTCTCTTCTTATTTTACAGATAAGAAATTTGAAGCCCCCGCAAAGGGAGGTGACTTGTCCACAATCTCACAGGCTCAGTGGCTTCAGCCAGACTTGGAACGCAACCAGAAGTTCTAAGGCATCATGTCACTTTTGTGGGGGAAATGTATGAAGATGAAAAGTTTCAAGGACACCTATGGTGGAATTTTAGGCATATGGCAATCACTAGGGACACCCATGTGGAAGGAAAGGAGGCAGGCATGGCTCATGTCATTGCTGTGGGCCCCACATCAGTGCTGGGGGTCAGAGACGGAACTCATCAGAACTATAGCAAAGAGGCCGGGCACAGTGGCTCACGCCTATAATCCCAGCAGTTTAGGAGGCCAAGGTGGGCGGATCATTTAAGGTCAGGAGTTCGAGACCAGCGTGGCCAACTTGGTGAAACCCCGTCTCTACTAAAAATACAAAAACATTAGCCAGGTGTGGTAGTCCACACCTGTAATGCCAGCTACTCAGGGAGCTGAGGCAGGAGAATTGCTTGAACCCGGGAGGCAGAGGTTGCAGTGAGCCAAGATCACATGCCACTTCCCTCCAGCCTGGGCAGCAGAGCGAGACACTGCCTCAAAAAAACAAACAAACAAACAAAAAACCAAACCTATAGGAAAGAGAAAAGCAGCCTTCTGGGCTCAGAAATCTGAGTAGAAAGATGTTCTGAGCCTGGAGAAAGAAATTCATAAAAGCCTGACTCTCTCTCCAGAAAAGAGTACATTTCTGCATTTAATTTTGGGAGGTTGGTCACCATTCTTTTCCTCGCTTCTAAATAAATGCTTATATAGCATTTATATTCCAGTCACTTTACAAATATTGTCATTTAATTCTCATGCAAACCAACGAGGTAGGAACTATTGTTATCCCCATTTTACAGATGGGGAAACTGAAGTACAAAGAGCTGAAGTAACTTTTCCAAAATAGATGTGGTTTTGAACCCAAGAAATGTGATACAACTATGACATGAGGCAGTCCCAATGCATTGAATCCTTATGACTGCAATGCAAGGGAGGTATAATTAACTGCATTTTATAGATGCAGAAACTGAGGCTTGAGGCTATTTGGTGTTTCTGGTGTAGATCTAGGAGCCAAACTCCAGCCTACCTAGACTCTTTGCCTCTGCTGTACCCCTGGACCATGTGTTAGGAATTCTTGGTACAGGGTGGTAGTGCTCAATATGGTAGTGGTTTTAGTCTGTTTTCTGTTGCTTATAACAGAATGTCTGAAACTGAACAATTTTGAAAGAAAAGGAATTTATTCCTTACAGCTATGGAGGATAGGAAGTCCAAGATTGAGGGGGCACTTCTGGTGAGGGCCTTATTCCTGGTCTCTGAAGTGTCTGGAGGTGGCACAGGGTATAGCGTGGAGAGGGGACTGGGCATGCTGACATGCTATGCTTTGGTCTCTCTTCCTCTTCTTATAAAGCCACCAGTTCTCCTCCTGTGAAAACCCACAAATCCATTAATCCATGAGTGGGTTAGTCCATTCATAAGGGCAGAGGCTTCATGATCCAATCACTTCTTAAAAGTCCCAACCGCTCAGTACTGCCACATTGGGGGATTAAGTTTCCAGCACATGACATTTGGGGGACACATTTAAACCATAGCAGTAGCCATTTGCCACATGTGGTTATTGAGCACTTCAAGTATGGCTAATGTGGCTAGTGTGACTGAGAATTTTTTATTTTATTGAATATTTTAATTTTTTTTTTTTTTTTTGAGATGGAGTCTCACTCTGTCGCCCAGGTCAGAGTGCAGTGTCATGATCTCGGCTCACTGCAACCTCCGCCTCCCGGGGTCAAGTGATTCTCCTGCCTCAACATCCCGAGTAGCTGGGATTACAGGTGTGTGCCACCATGCCCGGCAAATTTTTGTATTTTTAGTAGAGACAGGGTTTCACTGTGTTAGCCAGGACGATCTTGATCTTCTGACCTCATGATCCACCCACCTCCGCCTCCCAAAGTGCTGGGATTACAGGCATGAGCCACTGCGCCCAGCCTCACATTATATTTCTATTGGAACACAGAATGGTCTAGAGAATTGGGATTTGACAAACCCAGCTGTGACAAGTCACCAAAATTTGGGGGCCATACCCAGGGTGCCGTTCCTGTCACGATACCCATAGGTCCATGTGGAGGCTGCAGGGATACAAAGCTCGTGAAATATCCCAGGATGGCATGGGCACTGGAGTCAGCTGCCCCAAGTTCAAATCTGAAATCAGTCTTTTTGTTTTTTTTTTTTTTTTGAGATGCAGTTTCACTCTTGTTGCCCAAGCTGGAATGCAGTGGCGCAATTGGCTCACTGCAACCTCCGCCTCCTGGGTTCAAGCGATTCTCCTGTCTCAGCCTCCCGAGTAGCTGGGATTACAGGTACATGCCATCACGCCCGGCTAAATTTTTGTATTCTTAGCAGAAACCGGGTTTCACCACCTTAGCCAGGCTGGTCTCCATCTCCTGACTTCAGGTGATCCGCCTGCCTCAGCCTCCCAAAGTGTTGGGATTACAGGCGTGAGCCACCGCGCCCAGCCTGAAATCAGTCTTATACGACCAGCTGGGTGGTCTTGGGTAGGTCCCTTACCTTAACTCTTCTTGTCTGCAGAATGGAGGTGACTTACTGTTTTTCTCTGTCTCCCTTTCACATCTTTGCACTCTTCACCCCTTCTCTTCCCTCAGCTTTTAGTTTAAACATCACCTTTCTGATAAGCCCTGCTGAAAATGGCCACCCTCAGTCATGACGGAGAACAAGTCTTTCCTATTTTATTCAAGAAAATGCATGATGCAATCTATTTTAAATGATCATGGTTTTAATTTTATTTTCCTGATAATGGTCTATCTCTCCACTGATTTATAAGATTTGTAAGAGCAGGGGTGGATCATTCTGGTCACTGCTGAGTCCCCAGCATTTAGAACAGGGGCTGACACAGCACAAAACAACGTTAGTTGGGAATGTACAAGCAAACCCAGCACACCTTCAGAGGGGTGCTCAGGAAACAGCCCTCCCACCTTTCTTCACCCCTCACAGCTGTGGGATCTTCCTAACCATTTCGGTGTCCCAGGATAGAGGATGAGTTTATTCACCCCTCCCCAGCAGGGGAGTTGCCAGGATTAAATGAGATCCCAGAATGCCCTGGTATACCCTGAAGGCTCTGGGACACAGGTGAGCTGGTCCCCAGGGATTTGGAAACAGGAAAACAAATATGACTCCACCCTGCCTCCCATCCAGCCTCTGCCTAGAGGAGTTATTTTATTTTATTTTACTTTTTTTTTTTTTTTGAGACGGAGTCTTGCTCTGTCGCCCAGGCTGGAGTGCAATGGCGCAATCTCAGCTCATTGCAACTCCTGCCTCCTGGGTTCAAGCGATTCTCCTGCCTCAGCCTCCCGAGTAGCTGGGACTACAGGTGTGTTTTTTGTATTTTTAGTAATTTTTTGTACTTTTAGTAGAAACGGGTTTCACCGTGTTAGCCAGGATGGTCTTGATCTCCCGACCTCGTGATCCACCTGCCTCAGCCTCCCAAAGTGCTGGGATTACAGGCATAAGCCACCACGCCCAGCCTCTAGAGGAGTTATTTTACTTACTTACTTATTTATTTATTACACAGGATCTCACTCTGTCACCCAACCTGGAGTGCAGTGGCACAATCACGTTTCACTGTAACCTGAACTCCTGGGCTCAAGTGATCCTCCTACCTCAGCTTCCTAAGTAGCTGGGACCACAAGCTCGTACCACCATGCCCGCTATCTTTTTCTCTTTGTAAAGACAGGGTCTTACTATGTCATCCAGGCTGTTCTCAAACTCCTGGCCTCAAGCAATCCTCCCGTCTTGGCCTCCCAAAGTGCTAGGATTACAGACATGAGCCAGCTCACCCAGCTGAGGAGTTATTTTTTGACACTGGTGAATTCAGATCAAAAGGGATTTCTAAGAAAGGTGCTGGACCCAGGCCGGGCGCGGTGGCTCATGCCTGTAATCTCAGCACTTTGGGAGGCCGAGGCAGGTGGATTATCTGAGGTCAGGAGTTCGAGACCAGCCTGACCAACATGGAGAAACCCTGTCTCTACTAAAAATACAAAATTAGCCAGGCATAGTAGCGCATGCCTGTAATCCCAGCTACTTGGGAGGCTGAGGCAGGAGAATCGCTTGAACCCGGGAGGTGGAGGTTGCAGTGAGCCGAGATCGTGCCATCGCACTCAATCCTGGGCAACGAGTGAAACTCTGCCTCAAAAAAAGAAAAAAAAAGAAAGGTGCTGGACGCCTAGGACGCAGAGGGGTGTTTCACCCCAAATCAAGTAGCACCAAGCCCTCCCAGGCCTTGGGTGCAAGCATATTAAAGGCCTCTTTCCCTCTCTGTCTCCATTGTTTACACTCCACTGAGCATCCGCAATGTGCCACACACTGTTCTAAGCGTCTTACACATATTAAATTATTTAATCCTCACAACAACTTTATGAAGTGAGCGCAATTATGAGCCCATTTTATGGAGCAGGAAGTTGAGGCAGGGTTTTAGGTAGCTTTTCTGGGGTAGCACTGTGGGTTGGAGCGGAGGTGGAGTGCACTCTTAGGCCAGCTGGCTCTAGGGGCTCTTCACCACTAGGCCGCACTGCCTCTAGCAAAGGGACGCGGGGAAGCTCAGCAGACCTTAGGCCTCCCAAGGGCGCCACGGTGGTTCCTTTGAGCCCAGAGTCAGCTCTTAAGTCCATAGGCCTTCCTGAAGCTTCTGAACCACTTGCCCATAGCTGGGCCTCAGGCTGGCTCTCAGTAGAATGTGGAGAATGGAGATTCCCGCATGTCCACTTCTCCTAAAGGTTTTATAAGGCAGTGCTGGGAATGTGCTTTATAAAAAAGGGGAAGCACCCCGACAACAGTCACTGTTTGCTCTTTTAAGCACCATCCTGAGAAGGAGGAATGTTCTTCCCATTTCATAGGTGGGGAAACCGAGGCTCAGAAGAGCAAATTTTTGGCCGGGCGCGGTGGCTCACGCCTGTAATCCCAGCACTTTGGGAGGCCGAGGCGGGTGGATCACGAGGTCAGGAGATCGAGACCATCCTGGCTAACAAGGTGAAACCCCGTCTCTACTAAAAATACAAAAAATTAGCCGGGCGTGGTGCGGGCGCCTGTAGTCCCAGCTACTCGGGAGGCTGAGGCAGGAGAATGGCGTGAACCCGGGAGGCGGAGCTTGCAGTGAGCCGAGATCGCGCCACCGCCCTCCAGCCTGGGCGACAGAGCAAGACTCTGTCTCAAAAAAAAAAAAAAAAAGAGCAAATTTTTTTTCCAAGGTGATAGGGAGAGTCCGTGGCTGATGTCTGCACTGACCAGACGCCCCTAGGGGGCCAGCGAGGGCGGGTCCCAGGTGCAGCGGATGCAGAGGAGAGAGGCCCGGGCGCGGCGCGGGGGATGGTGCGATCCCGGGCCCGAGGGCATCAGACGGCGGCTGATTAGCTCCGGTTTGCATCACCCGGACCGGGGGATTAGCTCCGGTTTGCATCACCCGGACCGGGGGATTAGCTCCGGTTTGCATCACCCGGACCGGGGGCCGGGCGCGCACGAGACTCGCAGCGGAAGTGGAGGCGGCTCCGCGCGCGTCCGCTGCTAGGACCCGGGCAGGGCTGGAGCTGGGCTGGGATCCCGAGCTCGGCAGCAGCGCAGCGGGCCGGCCCACCTGCTGGTGCCCTGGAGGCTCTGAGCCCCGGCGGCGCCCGGGCCCACGCGGAACGACGGGGCGAGGTACTCGGCGGGGTGCGGCCTGCGGACTCGCCCGGAGGCCGGGGGGCGGGAGGGGGCGGCCGGGGAAGGGGGCGCCGGAAGCCTCTGGGCGTCTGCGTGTTGCCGCGTGTTACACGCACGCACGCCCCTTACACACCTTTTCACAGACCCCGCCGTCGGGGCGCGGCCAGGTCAGATCCCTTTTGATCCGGGCCTGGGCTGAGTGCTCCCCCCGGGCTTCAGGTGACGCGGCCCCGCGGAGCGTGGGGTCGCCCGAGTTGGGCTGGGGAAGCCAGGGACGGAGGTGTCCGGCCGTCACCCCTAGAGGAGGGCGTGCGGGGGTCTGTTTTGCGTGAGTGCGGGATAGGGGAGTCGTGTGGTGCGGTGAGGGGCTTGTGGGGGGCACTGGAGGACTCTGGGGGTGGCGGGGGATCCGAGGGGGTCCTCGTGAACCCGCAGGGGAGAGTCCTGGGTGAGGGTGGGTCCCGAGCACCTGTGTCTCAGGAGATGGTGAGAGCTGTCTGGAGGGCTGGGCACTTGGTGGCAGGGGTTGGCGGTGCAGGGGACACCGCCGGGACAGGGCTGGGGTGCCCTGGAGCGGGGGAGCCGAGGGAGTGGGAGCGGGGGCGCAGCGCGCGATCTCTGGCCCGGCAGGGCCGCTGGTTCTCCCCAGTGCGCGGCTCCGGGTTTGCAGGTGGACGGTGCGCGCGTGTCTGCGGTGTGTGCTGTGCCTGCAGACCGGGGAGGGCGGGGGACGACAGCCACCTCCTTCCCTCTGCCTCACCCCCCTCCTGTCCCAGGGCCGCGCTTCAATTTCCGCTGAAACTTCTGACTCGGACACCCGCCGCCTTTCGCTTGGGCTCCCACGGGAGGGGCCTGGCTGCGGGGGGCGGGGCGGGGTGGGGGTGCGGCCTTGCTCGGGTAGACCATGGGTGTGACAGCTGGGAGGGCTGTGTGTGTGTGTGTGTGTGTGTGTGTGCGTGCGCGCGCGCGCTTGCGCTTGATGTAACCCGCCCTCATTTCCCTGGGTCCCGAGTGTGGCAGGGAACAGCAAGAGGTAGATATTAGGGGCTGCTTTCATTCCACATCACAGATTCTATTCTGCAGTGTGGTCTGCAAAATGCCTTGCCCAAGATGTATAGACTCAGTTACCGCATCTGTCCCCATCTGGGTGGAGCTTATCCCAGGCCCCAACAGGCTCTGAGGGATGGCCGGGGCCAAGGCAGCCTGGACTACTGATGTGGCACAGGCCAGAGGGACTCCAGGCAGTCTCCTGCTGCACAGGGCACAAAGCATGTGCACAGCCAGGTATCATCCTGCGTGACTCAGAACAGCCTTGAGATGTAAGGAGTGTCATCCCAGCCTCGAACCTGGGGAGCTTTCTAAGACTCCCAAGGATGGTACTTATGCATCTTGCTGTGAAGAATAACAGGATGAGTGCTAATAATGACCATTTCCTGACACCTACCTGGCAACAGGTCCATAAGCTCTACATGCTTCATTTGTGTTTTCATTTCATCATCACGAAAAACCTGTAAGCTTTGCATCCTGTTCCCACTTTACAGGAACTGAGGCTCAGAAAGCTTGAGGAACTTGACCAGGGGTACCCCCCAGCTAGAAAGGGTTTGAGACAGGATTAGAACCCAGGAATATCTGACTACAGCCACTCCTTACTGCATTCTTACCAAGCCAAAGTCATGACCTTTCACTCATGTGGGGAGGCCTTCCCTTCCAAGGCAGCTCTTCCATTTGGGAGCAGCGTACTTGGAGAGGTGGGCCTCTGTCTGGTAACTGACTCATGTTGCCTTGTTAATCCTGCCTTGAACTGTTGGGAAGGTCTTTAACCAGGCTGAGGTCTCTCGCACCAATGCCCATACCTGGGCATGCACCTCCTTGGAATGGAGTTTAAGTGGGTGGGCAGATGGGTTCTAGAGAGAACCCGTCTGCCCTGACCATGCCCTACTGCCCTCTCCTTCAGCCACCACACACACAGTCACACAGCTGCGTGAATGGTGGCTTTCCTTTCACTTAACAGTTCACTCTGGAGATCCTTCCAATTACCCTATAAAGAGCATCCTCAACCTTTTAAATGGCTGCACATTGTTCCGTTGTGTGGATGAAGTATAATTTATGTAACCAGCCCTGTAATTATAGACAGCCAATTATTTCTGTCAAAAGGGCTGCAGGAATAACTGTGTATTTGCATGCTTACACACACACACCTCTACAGAATAAATTCTTAGCAATGGGATTAATTGCTGAATCAAAGCTCACACGCTTTTCATCGTTGTTTTTGTTTTGTTTTGTTTTGCTTTGTTTTGAGACAGTCTCACTTTGTTGCACAGGCTAGAGTTCCTGACCATGGCTCACTGAAGCCTTTACCTTCTGGGCTCAAGTGATTCCCCTACTTCAACCTCCTGCATGGCTGGGACTACAGCTGTGTGCCATCATGACCAGATAATTTTTTTTTTCTTAGGGACAGGGTCTCGCTACGTTGCCTAGGCTGGTCTTGAACTCCTGGGCTCAAGTGATCTTCCTGCTTCAGCCTCCCAAAGTACTGGGATTACAGGCATGAAGCACTGCACCCAGCCTGTTTTTCATTTTGATATTGTCAAAATGCACTCCTCAGAGGTGGTACCTTTTATCCTCCCACTAGCACTGTCTTCATTGTTAGTGGCTGCACTGCCACTATTCCACAGTATAAACCCACTTTTCATGACACTGCCAAGACATAAGGGTCTGAAATACTTAACAGTTTTCTTCCACAGTCCCCAAAATACAGGCTTCTCCCCCAGCTCAGGACATGAAGCCATCATCCCTCCTCATTGCAGGAGCCAAAGGCTGGACCTCACCTCGATTCCACCCTCTCCTTCACCCCTCACATCCAATCCATCCAGTCCATCCAGTCTGCCACTGAGTCCTCTTGATCTTCCTCCTATGAGCCCTTAACTTCGCGTCTCCATCTAGCACCCCCTAGTCCAGGTCACCTTCTCCTGCCTGGACTCGTGCTTGTGTGGGCCTCCTAGCTAGTCTCACTGCCCCGTCTTGTACTTTCAAATCCACCCTAAAAGCATGATGTTCCCCTGCTGAAATCCTTCAGTGGCTCCCCACTGCCTTTGGATAATTCCAAATCCTATTGTGTGTTAATTAGGATTAGGCTCAGCTGTAATATAGAAACAGCCACTTAATAGCTAAAATGAAATAGACGTTTTTTTCTTCTTTTTCTCTTTTTTTGAGACAGAGTCTTGCTCTGTCCCCAGGCTGGAGTGCAGTGGCGAGATCTCAGCTCACTACAACCTCTGCCTCCCAGGCTCAAGTGATTCTCCTGCCTCAGCCTCCCGAGTAGCTGGGACTACAGGCATGCACCACCATGCCCACCTAATTTTTGTATGTTTAGTAGAGATGGGGTTTCACCATGTTGGCCAAGATGGTCTCGATCTCCTGACCTTGTGATCTGCCTGCCTCGGCCTCCCAAAGTGCTGGGATTACAGGCATGAGCCACTGCGCCCAGCCTTCAATAGATGTTTATTTCTCTCCTGTGTAAAAAACCTGGAGGTCTGGCCTGACAACTCCATGTGTCAGGGACCTAGGCTCCTCTCTTGCTCTACTGTATGTGGTACTTCTGAAGCCAAGGTAGATGCTGGAGCTCCAGCAGTTAGGTCCACATTCCAGCATACAGGAAAGGAGGAAATGAGGAAGTTGGGCCCTCCCTTTAAGAACACTGTCCTGGGCATTGTACACAACACTTCCACTTGTGTCCTACTAGCCATATGCTGATACAAGGATACAAGGGAGACAGGAAATGCAGTTTATTCTAGGTGTCCTTGTGCTCAGCTGAAAATCTCAGGTTCTAATCCTATGTAAGGAGGGGAGACCTGAAACTGGGGACCACTAACCACCTCTGCCATATGATGCTCGTAGAGCCCTTCACAATAGGGCCTCTACTAACCTCACCTTATTTTTATTTATTTATTTATTTTTGAGACGGAGTTTCACTCTTGTCGCCCAGGCCGGAGTGCAATGACACTATCTCAGCTCACCGCAACCTTTGCCTCCTGGGTTCAAGCAACTCTCCTGCCTCAGACTCCTGAGTAGCTGGGATTACAGGCGTGTGCCACCACGCCCGGCTAATTTTTGTAGTTTTAGTAGAGACGGGGTTTCACCATGTTGGTCAGGCTGGTCTCAAACTCCTGACCTCAGGTGACCTGCCTGCCTCGGCCTCCCAAAGTGCTGGGATTACAGGTGTGAGCCACCACGCCCGGCCTATTTTTTTTTTTTTTTTAACTTTTCACTTTTTTTTGCAGTCACGCTCATTCTCCACCGTGTTCTTGGGGAACATGCAGCATGTTCTTTTGCCTCTTCCCTCACCCCAGAACAGGGGTTACTGGACAGCGGCATCAACTTCACCTGGGAACTGGATAGAAATGCAGATTCAGACCTTCTGAATGAGCTACTTTGGGAGTAGGGCCCAGCAATGTATGTTGAAACAGGCCTCCAGATGATCTCAATGCTTGCTCAAGTTTGAGAACCACTGAACCGCAGTATGACTCTCCGTGTCACCTGGCTAACTCTGCCTCACTTTCAGGTCTCAGTGTAGACACCACCTCTTCTAGGAAGACCTCTCTTGACCCACCAGCCCAGGAGAGAGGCCTCTCTGGGTTCCTAGAGGCCCATGCTTCTCTGTATAGTAGGGCTGATCACACTGTATGTGATTTTTTTTTTTTTTTTTGAGAGAGTCTTTACTCTGTCACCAGGCTGGAGTGCAGTGGCACAAACATGGCTCACTGAAGCCTCAACCTCCCAGGCTCAAGCAATCTTCCCACCTCAGCCTCCCAAGTAGCTGGGACTACAGGCATCCACCACCACACCCAGCTAATTAAAAAAAAATTTTTTTTTGTAGAGACAGGGTCTCACTATGTTGCCCAAGCTGGTCTTGAACTTTTGGGTTCAAGCAGTCTTCCCACCATGGCCTTCCAAAGTGCTAGGATTACAGGTGTGGGCCACTGCACCTAGCCTTGGACGTGATTTTATTACTCATCTGCCCTCCAAATTGACTGGAAGATCCTGACGGCAAGACTGCTGTCTAACCTACTTCTCTTCCTAGCACCCAGTGTTAAGTGAATGAACAAGATCATATCTCTCATCTGTGAATGTACGAGAGCCATGGATTATGAGATTAGTTGATTTTCTTAACTATAATTTTTAGAAACAAGCTGTGTTTTTAAGCAGGTATTTATTTCCTTAAATGTACATTTCTGATTACAAAATACTTTTTTTTGAGACAGAGTCTTGCTCTGTCACCCAGGCTGGAGTGTAGTGGCACAATCTCGGCTCATTACAACCTCTGCCTCCTGGGTTCAAGCGATTCTCCTGCCTCAGCCTTCCCAGTAGCTGGGATTACAGGTATGCACCACCACGCCCGGCTAATTTTTTTTTTCTCCCGTGACGGAGTCTTGTTCTGTTGGCCAGGCTGAAGTGCAGTGGTGTGATCTCAGCTCACTGCAACCTCCACCTCCCGGGTTCAAGTGATTCTCCTGTCTCAGCCTCCCAAGTAGCTGGGATTACAGGCCCACGCCACCACGCCTGGCTAATTTTTCTATTTTTAGTAGAGATGGGGTTTCACCATGTTGGCCAGGCTGGTCTCAAACTCCTGACCTCATGATCCACCACCTTGGCCTCCCAAAGTGCTGCCGTGGGCTGCACTTTGGCATTGCCTTGGTCACGTGCTGCTACCTGGGATTACAGGCATAAGCCACTGCGCCTGGCCTAATTTTTGTATTTTTTAGTAGAGACAGGGTTTCACCATGTTGGCCAGGCTGGTCTTGAACTCCCAGCCTCATGATTCGCCCACCTTGGCCTCCCAAAGTGCTGGGATTACAGGCGTGAGCCACCACGCCTGGCCAGGAAATACATTTACATGGCTCAAATTCAAAACTATAAAAGTCGGCCAAACATGGTGACTCACATCTGTAATCCTAACACTTTGGGAGGCTGAGGCAGGAGGATTGCTTGAGCTCAGGTGAGACCAGCCTAGGCAATGTAGGGAGACCCCCATCTCTACAAAGAATAAAAAAAAATTAGTCAGGCATCATAGTGCACACCTGTAGTCCCAGCTACTTGGGAGGCTGAGGTGGAAGAATCACCTGAACCCTGAGGTCGAGGCTGCAAGTGAACTGTAATAGTAAGAGTCTCCTCCTAATCTTGTGCATCCTTTCAGAGAGAGAGATGATAGATATTCAAACAAATACATACATATATATAACATATTTATATATATTCTTTTTAACATAAAAGTATAGCCAGGTGTGGTGGTTCACTACTAGAGTCCCAGCTACTTAGGAAGCTGAGGTGGGAGGTTCACTTGAGGCCACGAGTTTGAGACCAGCGTGGGCAACATCTCTTGGGGAAAAAAAAAAAAAAACCCACCATAAAAGCATTCTATAACACGTAATTCTGTGTTTGTCTTTCTTCTCTTAATACATCTTGGAGATCAGTACGCATCAGTATATAGAGAGCTTCCTTGTCCTTTTTCAGGGCTGTGTAGTATTCTGCTGTATGGCTATACCATGATGTTTTCACTAGCTTTCTACTGCCTGACATTTGGGATATTTCCTGCTTTTGCTATTGGACACAAGGCTCTGATGAACAGCCTTTACTATATTTAATTTTTTTGTGAGAAGTTTAACTGGAAGATAAATTCCCAGAAGTGGGGCACCCAGTTAAGGATATGTGACTTTGTCATTTTAACACACACTGCCAGATCACCCCCTATAAATGTTGTGCCACGTATCCTCCCACCAGCAGGGGAAAGGAGGGGCCACCAAGCAGTCTCACTTTAGTGCTTTTCTCTCCTTTTTACCAGATGCGAGCCACCCCTCTGGCTGCTCCTGCGGGTTCCCTGTCCAGGAAGAAGCGGTTGGAGTTGGATGACAACTTAGATACCGAGCGTCCCGTCCAGAAACGAGCTCGAAGTGGGCCCCAGCCCAGACTGCCCCCCTGCCTGTTGCCCCTGAGCCCACCTACTGCTCCAGATCGTGCAACTGCTGTGGCCACTGCCTCCCGTCTTGGGCCCTATGTCCTCCTGGAGCCCGAGGAGGGCGGGCGGGCCTACCAGGCCCTGCACTGCCCTACAGGCACTGAGTATACCTGCAAGGTACGTGCCCATGGGCGGCTGTCCCCCAGCACCACAGGAGGCCTGGGAAGGAGGCCTCCAAAGGATTGCCAGGGTGCAGAGGGGTCCTTATGTTCATTCATTCTTGTGTTTGTTTAGTGGGGAAGCATCCAGGGAGCCCCTGCTGGACTGATACTAGAGAGGTAAACCAGAGGTCGTCCCAGTCCTGGGGGAGTTCACAGCTTAGGCCCTACAGTGTGATAAATGCTGCAGGGGTAGAACTTAGGGATCATGGGCGCAGAAAAGGCCGAGCAGAAGTTAGCCAGGTAGAAGTGGGAGATGGGAGTTGCAGGCAGGGGGAACAGCTGTTCAAAGGCCTAGAAAAGTGAGGGGATAGCACTTTAGAGAATGAAAAGGACTTCTCTGTGGCCAGAGTGGAGAGGATGTGCAGAAAGGGGCAGGAGATGAAGGTTGGCAGCAGCTGGTCATGAAGGTGTTAACAAGGGGCCTCCACTGGGCTGTGCGGAGCTACTGAAGATGTTTGCACAAGAGAAGGGTAGGGCATGGTAGACATCAAAACTCCTGGGACCTCGGAGGTGATCGAGCCTAACCTGGGGCCATTTTACAGATAGGAAGACTGAGATGAAGACAGGAGAAGGGCCATGCGTGAAGTCACATAGCACTGGGCCTGGCTCCTGGGGTAAACTAAGGGGTAGAAAAGTCTGAGGATTCCTGGCAGAAACCAGGAAATGGACAGGGTCAAGGCCCCTGAGGGTCAGCCCATGCAGGACACTGACAAGTGACAGTCCAAGAAGACAGAGATGAGAATAAAAAGTGTAACAATAGGTATTCACTGTGCACCAGGTACTATGATGATTGCTTAGTGTGCACAATCTCTTTTAATCTTGACACAACCAATGAGGTGGTTTCTATCATTGTGCCCCTTTTATAGATAGAGGACACTGAGACTCAGAAAGCCATGGTTACTTGCCACATGACAGAGCCAGGTGGTATCAGAGCTGGGATTGGGCCCAGGAGGCTGAGCCCAGAGAGTCCTGTGCCCGTGCTAGGATAAGCGTTTCACACAATCAGGGCAGGCTGCCCTGGCAGGCAAGCATAAGGAAGATAAGGGGGACCTGGAAACCCAAGGGAGAGTAGCGGGGGCCTGGGTCCCTTGGGAATGCACAGAGAAGCAGAAGGACTTAAGCCTCCTCCTGGGGCAGCAGCAGAGCTTTGCTCTGTTGACGGAGATGCAGTGAACAGCGGGGCAGATCCAGACAGGGTCCAGCCCCTAGCTTCACCTGGCCTCTTGTGCACAGATCTCCAGCGCCCTTACCAGGTGCCCTAAGGAGCCCAGAACTCTGGGTCCCCTTCCTGCAGCATCACAGGCTCTTTTCCACTCCCGCTGGGGAGGTGAGTCCATGATAAGAGGAATAACCCAAGCAGGCTCAGGAGAGAAGCGCCATGCGTTCACAGGGCCCTGATTCTCAAGAAACATTTGGGAAAATCCACTGGAACATACTCACCCCTATGCCAATGTGCACCATGGGTGCTGAATGGTCATTTCCACACTTCCTCAGCTTTTCTGGTCAGTGTGTAGAAAGATCAAAATCTTGTCTTTGTAAATGATCAACTTATTCATTAATTCAACACAACTTCATTGAGCACCCGTATTTGCCATGTACCATGCTGTGGTTAAAAAACAAAGTTCTGTTCTCATCAAGCTGACGTTCTAGTGGGAGATACAGACACTAAACAAGCGAATAAGTAAAATACGTGTCAGGTGGCCGGGCGCGGTGGCTCACACCTGTAATCCCAGCACTTTGGGAGGCCGAGGTAGGCAGATCACCTGAAGTCAGGAGTTCGAGACTATCCTGGCCAACATGGTGAAACCTTGTTTCTATTAAAAATACAAAAAATTAGCCGGGCATGGTGGCAGGGGCCTGTAATCCCAGCTACTCGAGAGGCTGAGGCAGGAGAATCTCTTGAACCTGGGAGGTGGAGGTTGCAGTGAGCCGAGATCACACCACTGCACTCCAGCCTGGGCAACAAGAGCAAAACTCCGTCTCAAAAAAACAAAAAACAAACAGGAAAACCCTTATTCCAGCATCTTTCTTGGTTCCTTTGCAATGCTTATCAGCATTTGTCAATATTTGGTTTCTGGGCATGTTTGCATGGCCTCCCAGTGGGCACCGGAGAGCAGAGCCCATGGCTGTCAGTCTAGCTGGACATGTGGCTGGCCCGTGCAGGCCCAGGGCCAGCATACTGAATGAATGAAAGCGTGGGTGGGCAAAGAGGACGGGAGCTGTGACGGTGATGAGCATCAGGTGCCTTCTGCATCATCCGCCCTTCCGGATTCCTCCTGCTTTGTGGGTTATTTTTCTGTTTGGGTGACCTGTTACTTTTCAGTTATCCGATGTTTGAGGCCATATAGCGTAGCAGTTAAGAGCACAGACAAAAGGCCGGGTGCAGTGGCTCACACCTGTAATCCCAGCCCTTTGGAAGGCTGAGGCGGGAGGATCACCTGAGGTCAGGAGTTCGAGACCAGCTTAGCCAACATGATGAAACCCCATCTCTACTAAAAATACAAAAATTAGCTAGGTGCGGTGGCACATGCCTGTAATCCCAGCTACACTGGGGGCTGAAGCGGGAGAATCACTTGAATCCAGGAGGCGGAGTTTGCAGTGAGCTGAGATTGCGCCAGTGTGCTCCAGCCTGGGTGACAGAGCGAGACTCCGTCTCAAAAAAAAAAAAAAAAAAAAAAAGCACAGACAGTGGAGTGCATACGTGCAAATCTCAGCCGTGCTGTTTGCTGGCTGTGTGGCCTCTCAGCTTCGTTAACCGTAAAATGGAGCAAGTCATCCTACCTTATAGGACCATGGTCAGGGCTGAGTGACTCGGTCAGTGAAGCGCTTGGTGCGATGCCTAGCACATGGTAGTGTCTAATAGGTCAGCTGTGACTGTTTGCAATGCCAGCCTCAGCTCCCGGGAGTCCCCAGCTGTGCTAACACCATGCTCTGCCCACAGGTGTACCCCGTCCAGGAAGCCCTGGCCGTGCTGGAGCCCTATGCGCGGCTGCCCCCGCACAAGCATGTGGCTCGGCCCACTGAGGTCCTGGCTGGTACCCAGCTCCTCTACGCCTTTTTCACTCGGACCCATGGGGACATGCACAGCCTGGTGCGAAGCCGCCACCGTATCCCTGAGCCTGAGGCTGCCGTGCTCTTCCGCCAGATGGCCACCGCCCTGGCGCACTGTCACCAGCACGGTCTGGTCCTGCGTGATCTCAAGCTGTGTCGCTTTGTCTTCGCTGACCGTGAGAGGTGAGTGTGGTCTCAGAGACCCCAGCCACAGACACACCCAGGGGGTGGGCCATGATGGAGAGAAACCGAGGCCCAGGAAGGCAAGGTAACTTAGGCAAGAAGTGGGAGAAACTGAAGTAACCAGCAGCCCCTGTTTAGTTCCCTGAGAAGAGTTGACTCAGGCCAGGTGCAGTGGCTCACGCCTTTAATCCCAGCACTTTGGGAGGCCGAGGTGGGTGAATCACTTGAAGTCAGGAGTTCGAGACCAGCCTGGCCAACATGGTGAAACTCCGTCTCTACTAAAAATACAAAAATTAGCCTAGTGTGGTGGCGCACACCTGTAATCCCAGCTACTCTGAAGGCTGAGGCAGGAGAACTGCTTGAACCTGGGAGGCGGAAGTTGCAGTGAGCCAAGATCACGCCACTGCACTCCAGCCTCGGCAACAGAGTGAGATTCCATCTCAAAAAAAAAAAAAAGAGTTGACTCAGTCCTCTTGGGAGCCCCTTGGGATTCTGGGATGGAGCACTGAGATGTGAAAGTCATAGTAGCCGACAGTGACGAAAGCATCGCCACATTATCTAACGTGGTCTTCCATCCTTACAAACACGAGGCAGGTACTGTTATTATCCCCATATGATCAAGGAAACTGAGGCCCAGAGAGCTCAAGTAACTTGCCCAAGATCCCATAGCAGAATAAATGGTAGAGCTGGGATTTGAACCTAGATCTGACTCCAGAGCCTGGGTCTTAATTCAATCTGAGCTTGAGAGGCAGGGGCCTGGCTGGGCTTACCAACTGACTTTGGGTGACCTAGTGTCTCTGAGCCTCAGTTTCTCCGTTGGTAAGGAAAAGGGCTGGATTGTTAGGGTGTTTTCAGGATTCCAAGACCACAGCCAAAATAGGGTCTGAGGTTCCCCACACGGGAACGTTTTCTGTGAAACTGAGAATTAGCACTTTTTGGTTAAAAGAATCTTCCTTCTCTAGGTTGGGATGCTAAGAATTTTTTTTTTTTTAATTGAGACAGAGTCTCACTCTGTCACCCAGGCTGGAATGCAATGGCGCGATCTTGGCTCACTGCAACCTCTGCTGCCTGGGTTCAAGTGATACGCCTGCCTCAGCCTCCCGAATAGCTGGGACTACAGGCATGCGCCACCATGCCTGGCTCATTTTTTCTATGTTTAGTAGAAACGGGGTTTTGCCATGTTGGCCAGGCTGGTCTTGAACTCTTGACCTTAGGTGATCCGCCTGCCTCGGCCTCCCAAAGTGCTGGGATTACAGGTGTGAGGTACTGCACCCAGCCTAGACGCTAAGAAAAATTTTTAAAAGATAATTCTGGGGAGAAGGGCAGAGAGACTCGCCTCCTGTTCCCTCTCCAGATTCCTGGGGGCAGTCAAGATGTGTCAGGGAGTGCACTAAGCTGCCAGTTACACAGGAGTTTTCTGTGGAGAAAGGAGTGTGACCCCATGGCATTTTAAAAAACTTTTTATCTTGAAATAATTTTAGACTTTTAGAAAACCTACAAAAATAGTTCAAAGAGTTTCTGCATATCCTTTAACCAGTGCTCTCCAATGTTAACACCTGACGTAGCTATGGTACAATTACCCAAACTATTAACTAAGCCACAGATTGATTCCCACTTCCCGAGTTTCCCACTAACACCCCTTGCTGTGCAGGATCCAGTGAGGATCCCAATTTAGTCATCAGTGGTTTCCTTGGTCTCTTCCAATCTGAGACAGTTCCTCAGTCTTTCCCTGTCTTTGAAGACCCATGACCTTGACACTTTTTTTTTTTTGAGACAGGGTCTCACTCTGTCACCCAGGCTGGAGTGCAGTGGTGTGATCACAGCTCACTGCAGCCTCAACCTCCCGGGCTCAAGTGATCCTCCCACCTCAGCCTCCTGAGTAGTTGGTTCTACAGGTGTGTGCCACCCCACCTGGCTAATTGAGATGGGGTCTTGCTATGTTGCCCAGGCTGGTCTCAGACTCCTGAGCTCAAGCAATCTGCCTGCCTCAGCCTCCCAAAATCCTGGGATTATAGGCGTGAGCCACTGCTCCTGGCCATAACCTTGAGACTTTTGAAGAGTACTGATCAGTTAC
The DNA here is from genome assembly GCF_000001405.40 of Homo sapiens. Classification (NCBI taxonomy): domain Eukaryota; kingdom Metazoa; phylum Chordata; class Mammalia; order Primates; family Hominidae; genus Homo; species Homo sapiens. The sequence continues at coordinate 393,654 of NC_000020.11, forward strand.
TTTGTATGTCCCTCAATTTGGATTTGATTGATGTTTTCTCACAGTTAGATTGCAGTTATGTATTTTTGGCAAGAACAACACAGAATCGATAGGCCCCTCTCCACATCATATCAAGAGATACTTGAGCTGATAGTCATTCCTATGTCGTGACCTTGATCACTTGGTTAGGGCAGGACCTACCAGGTTTCTCTACTGTAAGGTCCTAATTTACCCTTTGTAATTGACAAATACCTTGGGGGAGGTAAGCTAGGCATATAAATATCCTGTTTTTCCTCAACTTTCACCCACTAATTTTAGCAGCCATCCATCTTGCCTATAGCAGTTATTATTGTGGTGCTTGCCTAAGTCTAATTTTCTTTTTCTTTTTTTTCTTTCTTTCTTTTTTTTTTTTTTTTGAGACAGAGTCTCGCTCTGTTGCCCAGGTTGGAGTGCAGTGGCACGATCTCGGCTCACTGCAACCTCCACCTCCCGGGTTCAAGTGATTCTCGTGCCTCAGCCTCTTGAGCAGCTGGGATTACAGGCACACACCACCACACTTGGCTAATTTTTGTATTTTTAGTAGAGATGGGGTTTTGCCATGTTGGCCAGGCTGGTCTCGAAATCCGCCTGCCTTGGCCTCCCAAAGTGCTGGGATTATAGGCATGGGCCGCTGCGCCCAGCCCCCAAGGCTGATTTTCTGTTAATATTTCCTTCTACATTTTATATTAGAACAAGCATGCCTTTTTTAAAGAAGTAACATTTATAATGATGTTTAAGCTAGTACATAACTTCAAACACATTTTAGGCTTAGGGTAGATACAACTACCCCGGACCTCCTGGAGGAGACAGCGTGCTTCCTGCTCTTTTCAAGAAGTCACTTGATGGCCCACACCTGTTATCCCAGTGCTTCGGGAAGCCAAAGTAGGAGGACTGCTTGAGCCCAGGAGTTCGAGGCCAGCCTAGGCAACACAGAAAACCCCATCTGTACAAAAAATTTATAAAAATTAGCCAGGTGTGGTGATGCACACCTGTGATCCCAGCTACTTGGGAGGCTGAGGCAGGAGGATTGCTTGAGCCCAGAAGTTTGAGGCTGCAGTGAACTAGGATTGCACCACTGCACTCCAGCCTGGGTGGCAGAGTGAGACCCTATCTCTAAAGAAAAAAAAGAAAAAAAAAAAGAAAAATCACATGAGAGTCATTGGTAGAAGAGGGACCGTGAGTTAGATAGACCTGTGTTTAAATCCTGGGTTCTGCTTCTTACCTGCTTTTTGGCCCTGAGCAAATGACTTCACCTGCCTGAGCCTTTGTTTCTTCATCTGTAAAATGGGCTAATAATGCTGACACCCCTTGTCCCCCAATACTGTGATTCATAGGATTGGTCAGTATTTGTGAAATGCCACTGGACACCCAGGAAGTAATGCCATAAAGAAGAAACTAATAGCAGTGGTAATAGAATGATTACTATTAAAGTCATCTTTGAGTGCTCAGTGGAAGTTGTTTAAAGTAGAAATTGCAAATGGCAGGACACACTTTTTTTTTTTTTTTGAGACAGGGTCTCACTCTGTCACCCAGGCCGGAGTGCAGTGGCGCGATCTCAGCTCACTGCAACCGCCACCTCCTGGGCTCAAGTCATATCCTTCTGCCTCAGCCTCCCAAGTAGCTGGGACTACAGGTGCGAATCACCATGCCTGCTAATTTTCGTATTTTTTGTAGAGATAGGTTTTTACCGTGTTGCCCAGGCTGGTCTTGAACTCCTGAACTCAAGTGATCCCCCTACCTCGGCCTCCCAAAGTGCTAGGATTACCGGCATGAGCCACCGCGCCCAGCCTTACACACTTTTTTTTTTGCCCTGCTTACCTGTTTGTGTTTTTTATATAAACTGGTTGCCAATATTTTTTAAATGGGGACCTTTTCATTAAAATACAATTCCTGGCTTCTCTTGGGGAAAACAATGGGAATGTGGGGCCATCTTGGGAACTGCGAGGGTGGGTCACAGCACTGGCTCTGAGTATCTGCCAGCCAGCGTTCCCATCCCAGGCCCATGCTCTACAGCTGTAAAATGGTGTCTTCCTTGCAGGCTGTAGCCTAGATAGAATGAGGTGAGCCAGGTAATGAGCTGGGTCAAGGGCCAGGAACACAGCAGGCACTTGGTAAACCCTAGAATGCGTTGTGTACCCTTTTTAGGTAGCGCTTGTGCTGAGATGTCAGGCACACTTCCTGTTTCTCTCATCTTATTACCTGCCTGGACCCTAAGTTTGTAGCTGGTTTAAGAGAGGCTTAACCCTCTCAGCCCCATCAGCCCCCTCCCCAAGGGACTCTGTTGAAAAATGTATTCCTTTCAGAATTTTAGTTTAAATTTAATTGCTCTGTGGCCTTAAATGACTTAACCTCTCTGAGCCTGGGCTTGGGTATCTGTAAAACAGGATCAGACATCACAGGACTGGCTTGTGTCTGTCAAAGGCCAGCAGGCACTTGGAAAGTGGGTGCCACAAGGGTGATAGCATGGGGTGGTGGCATGGGGGTTCTGGGTAGGACCTGACCCTTCTGTTTCTCCCCATGTCCCAGGAAGAAGCTGGTGCTGGAGAACCTGGAGGACTCCTGCGTGCTGACTGGGCCAGATGATTCCCTGTGGGACAAGCACGCGTGCCCAGCCTACGTGGGACCTGAGATACTCAGCTCACGGGCCTCATACTCGGGCAAGGCAGCCGATGTCTGGAGCCTGGGCGTGGCGCTCTTCACCATGCTGGCCGGCCACTACCCCTTCCAGGACTCGGAGCCTGTCCTGCTCTTCGGCAAGATCCGCCGCGGGGCCTACGCCTTGCCTGCAGGCCTCTCGGCCCCTGCCCGCTGTCTGGTTCGCTGCCTCCTTCGTCGGGAGCCAGCTGAACGGCTCACAGCCACAGGCATCCTCCTGCACCCCTGGCTGCGACAGGACCCGATGCCCTTAGCCCCAACCCGATCCCATCTCTGGGAGGCTGCCCAGGTGGTCCCTGATGGACTGGGGCTGGACGAAGCCAGGGAAGAGGAGGGAGACAGAGAAGTGGTTCTGTATGGCTAGGACCACCCTACTACACGCTCAGCTGCCAACAGTGGATTGAGTTTGGGGGTAGCTCCAAGCCTTCTCCTGCCTCTGAACTGAGCCAAACCTTCAGTGCCTTCCAGAAGGGAGAAAGGCAGAAGCCTGTGTGGAGTGTGCTGTGTACACATCTGCTTTGTTCCACACACATGCAGTTCCTGCTTGGGTGCTTATCAGGTGCCAAGCCCTGTTCTCGGTGCTGGGAGTACAGCAGTGAGCAAAGGAGACAATATTCCCTGCTCACAGAGATGACAAACTGGCATCCTTGAGCTGACAACACTTTTCCATGACCATAGGTCACTGTCTACACTGGGTACACTTTGTACCAGTGTCGGCCTCCACTGATGCTGGTGCTCAGGCACCTCTGTCCAAGGACAATCCCTTTCACAAACAAACCAGCTGCCTTTGTATCTTGTACCTTTTCAGAGAAAGGGAGGTATCCCTGTGCCAAAGGCTCCAGGCCTCTCCCCTGCAACTCAGGACCCAAGCCCAGCTCACTCTGGGAACTGTGTTCCCAGCATCTCTGTCCTCTTGATTAAGAGATTCTCCTTCCAGGCCTAAGCCTGGGATTTGGGCCAGAGATAAGAATCCAAACTATGAGGCTAGTTCTTGTCTAACTCAAGACTGTTCTGGAATGAGGGTCCAGGCCTGTCAACCATGGGGCTTCTGACCTGAGCACCAAGGTTGAGGGACAGGATTAGGCAGGGTCTGTCCTGTGGCCACCTGGAAAGTCCCAGGTGGGACTCTTCTGGGGACACTTGGGGTCCACAATCCCAGGTCCATACTCTAGGTTTTGGATACCATGAGTATGTATGTTTACCTGTGCCTAATAAAGGAGAATTATGAAATAATTTTATTTTTCTCTGCAATTTCTTCCATCCTTTCCAACGATCTCTTACCAGTTTTTCCTGCCTTCAAAACTGGCCCCCATGGTGAAAGGCCGTAGAGTTGTGTCTTAACCTGGGCTGAGTGGTTTGTGAGAACAGATTACCTGGAGCCCAGTGGGTCTTCCTGCACTCCTTCTGTTTCTTCTGGCAGCAGCAGTGTCTCTATTAGGGTACTTTCTGAGTCAAAATGGCTTCAACAAGATGGAAATATGTTTCACACAAAACAAGAAGTCAGCAGATAGGGTGGGCTTCAGTGCTGGTCCATTCAACTCCCAAAGCTGCGCACAGGGACCCCGGCTCTCCAGGCTCCTTCTGTCTCTTGGCTGTATTGTCTCGAGACTGCTGGCCCAATGGCTACAGCAGGTGTCACATTAAAGAGGTCCATGACCAGAGGAAGAAGCCAGGGGTCATTGTAGTACCTGAGAACTCAGAACTCTGGAGTCAGGCTGCCTGGAATTAAATCCTGGCTCCAGCACTCAATAGCTGTTTGACCCTTGGCAAGTTTCTTAACCACTCTATGCCTCAGATTCTTCATCTGTGAAATGGGGGACAATGATAGTACCTAACTTATGAGAACTAAATGACTTATTTTGTATAAAGCAATTAGAACAAGCAGCGCCTGGCATAATAAGCCCACAATAAAAGTTACTCCCGGCTGGGCACGGTGGCTCACGCCTGTAATCCCAGCACTTTGGGAGGCCGAGGTGGGCAGATCACAAGGTCAGGAGTTCAAGACCAACCTGACCAACATGGTGAAACCCCGTCTCTACTAAAAATACAAAAATTTTTAGTAGAGACGGGGCGTGGTGGTGCGTGCCTGTAGTCCCAGCTACTCGGGAGGCTGAGGCAGGAGAATTGCTTGAACCCGGGAGGTGGACGTTGCAGTGAGCCAAGATCCCGCCACTGCACTCAGCCTGGGCAAGAGAGCGAGACTCCGTCTCGAAAAAAAAAAAAATGGTGCTCCCACATTTCTTTCTTGGGATGGAGGAAGCTTTCCCAGAAGCGCTCCTGACCGACTTTCCCACACATCTCACTGGTCAGAACTGCATCACTTGCCGTTTCTGACCAATCACCAGCTTACATTCATGGGGCACGTGCTTACACTAACCATGGCACTCCTCGAGCTAAGTGGAGCTCATGCGTCATATGGAGGGGTAGTGACTCCTGAGCAAAACCAGGTTCAAAGAGGGAGGGGATCGTAGGGAAAAGAATGTGCGGAAGTGCGGAGGCCCAGCCAACAGCCTGCTAACTGCAGATACTCGAGAGCGGCCACCCTAGATCATCTGACCCAGGCTGGCCCACGCTAGAATTGCCCAGTGACCCGCAAGGTCATGAGCTAATTGAGCTAAATAAAATCATTGTGTTTTTTTGTTTGTTTGTTTTGTTTTTGTTGTTTTGTTTTTTGAGACAGAGTCTCACTCTGTCACCCAGGCTGGAGTGCAGTGGTGCGATCTTGGCTCACTGCAACCTCTGCCTCCCGGGTTTTCAAACGATTCTTCTGCTTCTGCCTCAGCCTCCCGAGTAGCTGGGATTACAGGCACGCGCCACTACACCCGGCTAATTTTTATATTTTTAGTAGAGACGGGGGTTTCGCCATGTTGGCCAGGCTGGTCTCCAACTCCTGACCTCAGGTGATAGGCCCACCTCGGCCACCCAAAGTGCTGGTATTACAGGCGTGAGCCGCCGCACCCGGCCAATCATTGTGGTTTTAAGTCACTAAGTTTGAGGCTATTTTGTTTTACAGCAAAAGCTAACTGATGCAGACAGGGACAAGTCAGTCTCATCTCTGTGCACCCAGCATTGCCCAGAACAGGGCCTAGTTGTGTCTAGGGTCTCATGGGGCAGCCCCTGACCTCTATCTTGCCCCTCCCAGCTTCCAACAGACCCTGTCCCAGCTCCCTCCAAGCTGAGTGTTGGCCTGATACCTACCAGTGGAGCGAGGGGAACACGAGGACTGCCAAGGGCAGGTACCGTGCCAACCCTTCACTCCATTCCACAAAGAGACTCATTTACTCCTCATGACAATCCAGTGAGGCAGATGTTCCTGTCACTTTACAGATAAGACAAATGAGCTTTAGAGAGAGCAGAAGACTCATCCAAGACCTCACAACAGAGAAAAAGACTCCTCTGGTTTTTGCCTTGGAGCAGGAACTTTTGACAAGGCTGCGCAGATGCAGCCACATGAAAACCGCCCATTAAAAATGTAATATCGGCCCGGAGCGGGGGCTCACGCCTGTAATCCCAGCACTTTGGGAGGCCGAGGCAGGCAGATCACTTGAGGTCAGGAGTTGAAGACCAGCCTGGCCAACATGGTGAAACCCCGTCTCTACTAAAAATACAAAAAATAGCCAGGCGTGGTGGCATGGGCCTGTAATCCCAGCTACTCGGGAGGCTGAGGCAGGAGAATCACTTGAACCCAGGAGGCAGAGATTGCAGTGAGTCAAGATTGCACCACTGCACTCCAGCCTGAGCGACAGAGCAAGACTCTGTCTCAAAATAATAATAAAATGTAATATTCACTCTTATCAAATAATGGATGTCACCACACCCCGACCCTAATTAGTGAGGACTTTCATGTTCTACTTGTCTTCATTTAATCATCATTGTATAAGAGTTTTACAATATCAAATTAGTAGATGTATATTACTGAAAGGGAAGGACTGTTAGAAATTTACTTGAGGAATGTCTGCCACTGGGGGCTGAACACAAAAGATCCTATTGTGACCTGCCAGATTATTCATTCACTTAGCAATTCAACAACCATCGCTGAATGCCTACTATAGGCCAGGTGCCATGCAAGACAGATGTGCTCCCACCCTCAAGGGTTCACAGTCTAATAGAGGAGAGAGATGTTAAACAGATAACTGTACAGATGGCATAGCTAATTATATTCGTGGAAGTTCGTTGTGGCAAAGACAGGCATCTCAATATTTCAGGAGCTCCCCTATATTTTCTAGCCTCCCTTACAGTCACATGACTAGTTCTGACCAGTGGGGTGTGTGTAGGAGTGGCAGGCTGAAGCAATGGAGAGCTGGTGAGCCTCATCCCTCTCTTCCCCTGCCACAGCCACCTTGCGCCCACAAGTTCCCTTAGCTACAAGCTGGAGGAGAGCCACCAGATCCACCTTAGATTTCACTGAGCAAGAAATAAAGCTTCTTGTGTTAAGTCTTTCAGATTTGGAGTTTGTCTGGTAGATAGTGTTAATTACCATGACTAAGGAAAATTTGCCATTAGTGAAGGGAGGAAAAATATTCTCCACCAGTAACAAGGCCATGTCAGTCTGCTGCATTATAAACCCCAAACAGTAGTTTATGATCCTCTGGGCTGGCAATTTGGGCTGAATTCAGCTGGGTCACTCCTGCAGCTGCAGGCAGCAAGCAGCTCGAATGTCTACCTTGCCAGGAAGGCTCTTCTCTGCTCCACATGGCCTCGTCCTCCAATAGGCATAGCCTACTCCTTCCTATGGTGGTCTCAGGGTTTCAGAAAGCAACAAGAGAGGACAAATTCCAGTGTTCAAGCTGCACTAGTGTCAAAGCATATCAAATAGCATGTCAAATTCCACATCAAATTCAGGATGCAGGCAAATTGATTCTTTCTCTTGATGGGAAGAGCTGAAAATAATGTGTGGTCTTGTTTTTCAATGTACAGTGGTCCCATTTATCCAGGGGGGATACATTCCAAGACCCCCAGTGGATGCCTGAAACCACAGATAGTACAGAATTCTGTATATACCATGTTTTTTACTATACATACATACCTACGATAAGGTTTAATTTGTAAATTAAACTCTTACAAATTAAGAGTTAACAACAGCTGGGCACAGTGGCTCACGCCTGTAATCCCAGCACTTTGGGAGGCCGAGGTGGGCGGATCACGAGGTCAAGAGATCGAGACCATCATGACCAACATGGTGAAACTCCGTCTCTACTAAAAATACAAAAATTATCTGGGTGTAGTGGCGCATGCCTGTAATCCCAGCTACTTGGGAGGCTGAGGCAGGAGAATCATTTGAACCCGGGAGGCGGAGGTTGCAGTGAGCTGAGATCGCGCCACTGCACTCCAGCCTGGTGACAGAGCGAGACTCCACCTCAAAAAAAAAAAAAAAACAAAAAAAACAAACAGTTAACAATAAATAGAACAGTTATAACAGTATGTTGTAATAAAAGTTATGCGAATGTGGTCTCTCCCTCAAAATGTCCTATTGTACTGTACTCACCCTTCTTGTGATGATGGGAGATAATAAAATGCCTACATGATGAGATGAAGGTAAATGAATGACATGGGCATTGTGATCTAGCGTTAGACTACTACTCACCTGATGATACGTCAGAAGGAGAATCATCTCCTTTGGGTGATCCAGGATCATGAAGCCGTGACAATGTCCATGATTGGATGTCAGGAGCAGATGATGTTAATGATTAACCGTGGGTAATGTCTACAATATGGATACAGTGCAAAAGGGATGATTCACATCCTACGTGGAATAGTGCAGGATTGCATGAGATTTCATCATGTGGTTGGCTGCAGGTAACTGACATTGCAGAAAGCAAAACCACAGATCATGGGGGTGGGGGTGGGGAACTACTGTACAACATGAGATATATTTGATCAAATAAGATGAGGTGCACCTAAAACTTTCCCTACAGGTTGTATGCCCCTGAGTAAATTGCTTGGTGTCTCTGGATCTCCAGCTGTTCCCCTTCTCTCTGCATGGCTAAGCCCTGTCCGTCACTTGGGGCTGGACCTAGAGCCCTGCCTGGCCACTAAGCCCTCAGAACAGGGTTTCTTTTTTAAAAAAGACAGGGTCGGGAGGTGGAGGTTGCAATGAGCCAAGGTCGCACCATTGCACTCCAGCCTGGGTGACAAGAGTGAAACTCCATCTCAAAAAAAAAAAAAAAAAAAAAAAAAAAAAAAAAAAAAGACAGGGTCTCACTCTGTCACCCAGGCTGGAGTACAGTGGTGTGATCATGGCTCGCTGCAGCCTTGAACACCTGGGCTCAAGCTGTCCCCCAACCTCAGCTTCCTGAGTAGCTGGGAGTGCCACCACGCCTAGCTAGTTTTTTAAAAAATTGTTTTGTAGAGACAGGGGCCTCACTATTTTGCCCAGGCTGGTCTTGAATGCCTGGCCTCAAATGATCCTCCTGCCTTGGCCTCCCAAAGCACTGGGGTTACAGGTATGACCACTACCCACAACCAGAACATTTCTCAAATGTGATTGGTTGATCTCCTGCATCCATCCCTGGGGTGCTTGTTTAAAATGCAGAGCCCTGGATCCTCCCCCAACCTAGAGAGTCAGAACATCTGGGCTTCTGCATCTTAACAAGCTCCCTGGGTGATGCTGCTGGGCCTCCAAGTTGGAGAACCTCTGTATTTGAAGAAATCCGGACTCCTTGGGGACTCAAATCTTATTTCAGCTCTTCTCTGGACTAGTTTGACTTTAGCCTTGGTGTAAAATGGGTATACATTTTACACGCCTGTGACGCCAGGATGCGCTCACAGGGGAGGGAGGGCTTTATCAGAGGTCAGAATCTAAGCCACCACTACAGTTGTACTAGATCCAAGGAGAAAGACTCCCAGGCCTCATTTCCTCATCGTTCTCTCTTCTCTTACCTGGCTTTATGGTTCTTCATAGCACTGAGCACCACCAGGCAGTGTATTTTATGTTTTTTTTGAGCTTTATAATGCCAGGGACTATGTTTTGTTTATAACTGTTCACCCAGTTCCTAGAACAGTGCCTGGTACACAGGAGTGCTCAATAAATGTTTGTGGAATGACTGAATAAAAGTTGTTCCTGTACAGATTCCACCTGCCTAGAGCAAAGCCAGGACACTGATTGGGATGAACACATAGCACATGCCAGACATGGCTTTGAGTGCTTTACCTGGATCATCTCACTTTATATGTGACAGCCAAATGGTCCCCAGTGACCTTCACCAGCTGCTATTCACGCCTTTGTACAGTTTCCTCCCATCCTAAGCTGGGCTGACCAGTGTAATGAATACAATATTGTGAAATGAGAAAGTATGACTTTTAAGATTAGGTCATAAAATATGTTATGGCTTCTGCCTTGCTCTTCTGGATCATCTGCTCTGGGGACAGCCAGCTGCCATGTTGCGAGGACACTCAATTACCCCTGTGGAAACTTACATGTGGTGAGGATCGTAGGCATTCTGCAAATAACCAGCACCACCCAGGCACATAAAAGAGCTTTCTTGAGTCAATCCTCCAGCCCCAGTCAAGCCTTCAGATGACTGCAGCCCCAGCCGACATCTTAACTACAACCTCATGAGTGACCCTGAGCCAGAACCATCTATGTAGCTGCTCCCCAGTTCCTAACCCACAGAAACTATGTGATAGCATACATGTTGATTGCTTTTTTAAGCAATTAATTTTGGGAAATTTGCCACATATCAATAATTAATAACTTGTACAGATTCTCACAACAGCCTATGTGGGAGGAGCCATCATAATTACCATTGAACAGAGAAAGAAACTGAGGCCCAGATAGGGGGAATCTTTGTCCAGGGTCACACAGATAGTGAACTGTAGCACTGAGATTGGAACCCAAGTTTGAATGACTAGAGTCTACCCACTGAGGTGAAGGTGTTCAAGTTGAATGCCAGCTCTTCCCCTGAAGGGCCAAGGCTGAGACCAGAAAACCTGAAACAATATAGCTGCACCCAATATAAATATATGCAGGTAACTCAGGGCTGATGGTACATGACCATAATAAATCAGCAGGGTCATCAGGAGAAAACAAGACAACAGGAGCGAAAACAGATAGAAACAAATATGCCCAGAGTTTGTATATCAGTATTATCAGACGCAGATTATAAAACAAAATGTTGGCCGGGCACGGGGGCTCATGCCTGTAATCCCAGCACTTTGGGAGGCCAAGGCGCATGGATCACCTGAGGTCAAGAGTTCAAGACCAGCCTGACCAACATGGGGAAACCCCGTCTCAAATAAAAATACAAAAAAATTAGCTGGGCCTGGTGGCAGGCTCCTGTAATCCCAGGTACTTCAGGAGGCTGAGGTAGGAGAATCGCTTGTACCCGGGAGGGAGAGGTTGCAGTGAGCTGAGATCGCACCATCTCACTCCAGCCTGGGCAACAAGAGCGAAACTCTGTCTAAAAAAAAAAAAAGTTTACTGCGTTTAAATAAATAAATAACCTAGAAACATTGCCAAAGTATAGAAAATTATATCACATGACAACAAATTTTAAAATAACCTAACAGAACTTCTAAAATAAAATAATACAATAATCAAAATTTTTAGGCCAGGCACAGTGGCTCACACCTGTAATCCCAGCACTTTGGGAAGCCGAAGTGGGTGGATCACTTGAGGTCAGGAGTTCGAGACCAGCCTGGCCAACATGGTGAAACCCTGTCTCTACTAAAAATACAAAAAATTAGCCAGGAGTGGTGGCAGACACCTGTAATCCCAGCTACTCAGGAGGCTGAGGCAGGAGAATCACCTGAACCCGGGAGGCAGAGGTTGCAGTGAGCTAAGATCGTGCCATTTGCACTCCAGCCTGGGCAACAAGAGTGAAACTCTGTCACACACACACACACACACACACACACACACAAATTAAATTTAAAAGATGGGCTAAACAGCAAACTAGATATGGCTAAAGAGGGAATTAGTGAGACAGAAATCAGACACCAATCACAGATTCAAGAAACTCCATAAATTTTACACATAGACACATCATAGTAAAAGTGCAAAAAGCCAAAGATTTTTTTTAAAAAACTCTTAAAAGCACTCAGAGGAAAAGAATCAGAGATTCTAAAAACAAAAAACAAAACAAAACAAAAAAACCCCAAAACAACAACAACAAAAAACAAACAAAAAACCAGTACTACAACATGGATAAACCTCAAAAACGTTATGTCAAGAAAAACCCCAAAGTTATGCCAAGTGAAAGAAGCCAGTCACAAAGGTTCACATATTGTCAAAATCTAATTTTCTTTTTGAGACAGGGTCTCACTCTGTCACCCAGGCTGGAGTGCAGTGGGACGATCACTGCTCTACAGGTGCACGCCATCACACTCGGCTAATTTTTGTATTTTTTGTAGAGATGGGGTTTCACCATGTTGCCCAGGCTGGTCTTGAATTCCTGGGCTCAAGCGATCCACCTGGCTTGGCCTCCCCAAGTGCTGGGATTACTGGCATGAGCCACTGTGGCCCATCAGTAAGATCTAATTTCTATAAAATATCAAGAAGAGGAAAGTCTATAGAGACATAAAGTATATTAGTGCTGTCAGTTGGAGGATGGGAAACAGGGAATGTCTGCTAATGAGTACAGGTCTATTTTGGGGTGATAAGAATGTTCTTTCTTTCTTTTTTTTTTTTTGGTCTGAGACAGAGTCTCGCTCTATCACGCAGGCTGGAGTACAACGGTGCGATCTCAGCTCACTGCAACCTCTGCCTCCCAGGTTCAAGCCATTCTCATGCCTCAGGCTCTGCAGTAGCTAGGATTACAGATGTCCGCCACCACACCTGGCTAATTTTTGTATTTTTAGTAGAGACAGGGTTTCACCATGTTGGCCAGGCTGGTCTCGAACTCCTGACCTCAAGTGATCCGCCCACCTCGGCCTCTCAAAGTGCTGGGATTGTAGGTGTGAGCCACCATGCTCAGCCAAAAATGTCCTAAAATTTGATTGTGATGATGGGTGTACAATTCTGTAAATGTTACTAAAAACTATTGAATTGTATATTTTAGGTGGGTGGATTTTATGGCATATAAATTATATCTCAATAAAGCTGTTTATAAAAAGAACAGCAGTTAGATTGACAGGTGATGATATCTCAATAAAGCTGTTTATAAAAAGAACAGCAGTTAGATTGACAGGTGATGATATCTCAACAGCAACCATTTCCCAGCATTTTGGGAGGCCGAGGTGGGCAGATCATTTGAGCCCAGGAGTTCAAGACCAGCCTGGGCAACATGACCAAACCCTGTCTCTACAAAAATTAGCCAGCTGTGGTGGCACGTGCCCGTGGTTTGCAGCTACTCGGGAAGCTGAGCCCAGGAGTTGGAGGCTGTAGTGAGCCATGATCACGCCACTGCACTCCAGCCTGGGCAACAAGAGTGAAACTCCATCTCAAAAAAAAAAAAAAAAAAAAAAAAGGCTTCCCCAGGCCATTCAAATGTACAGCCAAAGTTAAGAAACATTGTCTAAAGGGATGTGTTTCCGGCAAAAGAAAAATTATCCCAGATGAAGGTCTGAGGTTCATTCCTTCATTCAACATATGGAGCCTCCATTATGTGTTTGGAACTGTTCTAGACACCAGGAACACAGCAGTGAGCAAAACAAACCAAAGTCCCTGCCCTCTAGGAGAGGAAAACAGACCCAGAATAACATAAATAAGTAAAACATGCTCCGTTAGACAGTAATAGATGCTGAGAAGAAAAAATGAAGCCAGGAAAGCGGATGTGAAATGCTGGATACGTGTGTCTGTGAAATTTCAGATGGAGTAACTAGGGAAGATTTTTGGGTAAAGACCAAAATAAAGGGAAGGAGGGAGCCATGCAGACGTTTGGGTTATGGCAGGTGCAAAGGCCTTAGGGCGGGAGTGTGTCTGACTTACTCCAGGACCCAGCAGGTCAATGGGACTTGAGTGGAATGAGGCAGGGGCAGGGCAGTCAGCTACGAAGACAGAGATCGGGAGGCAATTTGCGAGCCCTGGGACAGATCTCGGATTTTGCTTTAAGTGAGATGGGAGTACTTGGGTCGGGGAGTGGCATGGGTTTGATTTACATTTTAACAGGACTCTCCGGCAGCTAGGTGGAAATGGACGGTAGGGGGCAAAAAGAGAAGCAAGGAGGCCCAGGAGGAGGCTGGTTCAAGACCCCTGAGATGATGGAGCACTGATGGAGCTGGAGCGGGATGGGGCCGGAGGAGGTGAGGGATGAGATTCTGCAAGTGGAGCCCGCAGGATCTGCTGATCGATGGGACGAGGAACGGGAGAAAAATTAAAGCGGCGCATGAGGCAGACGAATGCAAACTTCACCAATAGCTCAACGAAAAGACAGACGGTGACCGCTGAGAGGCAGCGTCGGATCTGGGTAAGGGCGGGTTCCTGAGCCTGCCAGGCCTGGATTCAAACCTCGGCTGAGTGGCCTTGGACAGGTCATCAACAAACAGAGCCTTCGTTTATTCATGTGCAAACGGGGCCAAGGACCGGGCCTGCCCCGAGGTATGCCTGAGGCTTGGGTGAGCAGGCGCCGGGCTCGCAGGGCGCGCTCCTAACCCGTCCCCAGCGGCTCGACGCTGTGGATCCCGCCGCCCTCCAGCCCCGGCTCCGGCGCCGACTCCTGCTCAGGCTCCTGCTCCTGCCCCCGGCCCCGCCCCCGGCCCCGGCCCCGGCCCCCGGCCCACCCCGGCCCCGCCCCCAGCCCCCGGCCCCCCCGGCCCCGCCCCCGGCCCCGCCCCGGCCCCGCCCACCCCGCCTGCGGCCCAGCTCCTTCCCGCGGCTCTGCGATGCGGCCCGCAGGGTGACCCGGGCGGGAGTCCGGGGACCCGCGATCAGCCCCGGAGGACGGGGTGGGGTCGCCCCAAACAGGAGCGCCGGGACCGCTGGGACCCCGCACTCGGCGTCCGCCGCCGCCGGGTAGCCGGGCAGTGGAGGTCCCGGATGAGGCGACAATTTTTCCGGCCCCCCCTCCCAGTCCCGCCCCACTTCCGGGGCCGCCACTTTCACTTTCTCTTCCGCCGAAGCCGCTCCCCTTGCGAAGAACTGGGGCCTCCCGGGAGGAGAGAGGGCTTTGCCTTGAAACCCGGGACGCCAGGGGCGCTCCCGCAAGTGGGGGTCCTCCGGGACTTGGAACGCCCCGGCTGGGTGGTGTCCGGGCGTCCTTTCCCCGCTTCTTCCCACCTCGGCTGGTCCCGTTTCCTCCTGCGCCCAGTGCGGACCTGTCTCGGCGCCCGCTGCCCTCTCACCGCCCCACGCAGGATCCCGGCCTGGTCACCGGGCAGTGTGATGCTTCCCGACTGCCGCGGGGACAGCGAGGCACACACAGGGCTTGGGCCGCGCCGGAGGCCACACGGCCTGGCTGAGTTGCTCCTGGTCTCCCGCCTCTCCCAGGCGACCCGGAGGTAGCATTTCCCAGGAGGCACGGTCCCCCCCAGGGGGATGGGCACAGCCACGCCAGATGGACGAGAAGACCAAGAAAGGTGGGCACAGGCTGGAGGTGGCTGGGGAACTTCCGGTGGGAAGTGGGCCCCGCAGGACCTGGCCTTGCCCCTGGCCAGAAGGGCCTTGGAGAGGGGGCTTTAGCCTGCCCTCCCTCTACCCTCCTCCCCATCAGTTTCCTCCTTTGGTACCTGCTGGCTTCCAGAGCCATCTTGGGGCCCTGAGAACTCCTTGGGCTGGCTCTGTGCTGAGATGGGGCTAGGGGACTCGCAGAGGACACAGGGCATTGAACTTGGAGACCTCCTGGGCTGGTGGGAGACAGACGTCAGTTGACCTGAGAAGCAGGGGTACTTGCCTCTTCTCTTGTCCCCTGCACCTAGGGTTGTAGAACGGAAGTCAGTCACTGCCTTGCTGGAAACCCTCCCATGCCCCTCTGTGTTCTCCAAACAAAACCCAGAGGCCCTGGGTGGCCCACAGGATATCTGTCCTCAGTCACCCCGCCATGCTCACTCTACTGGAGCCCCACTGGCTTCCTTCGGTTCTCATCCAACCATTTTTTGGCCAAGGCCCTTACTCTTCCTTCCACCTGGACCACTCTTCCCCACTGGAGCTTGACACGTGCAGCTTCTCCTCCTTCAGGTCTTAGCTTCAGTGTTACCCCCTCCCAGAGGCCTCCCCTGGTCTCCTTAACCTGTTTATTTCCCTGCCAGCAAGGATCGCAATCTGACTTTTTTTTTTTTTCTTGTTAAACTTGTTCATTGTCTCCCCACTGGGCAGGGAGATCCATAAGGAGAGGGGCCCTGTTTATAAATCTCTGTGGGATTCCAGTTCCTGGGACAGTGGGTGGCACACAGTAGAAGCTCAATAACTGCTTGTTGGATAAATGAATAGAAATATGAGGGACCCTGGGAATGGGAAGGACAAACAACCAAATGAGCCTAGTGTGAGGAGGAGTGGGGAATATTAGAGAACCCCTCCCGGAGAAAGGGACTTTTAGTCTGGGTGCTGAAGGATACGTAGGAGTTCACCAGGAAGACAGAGAAAGCAGCACACACAAAGGATCGCCTCCTTTCCTACCCCATTACTCTCAGCTCCTGAAAATAAACCCTGTGCTAACTGGCTCCTGCTGTACTGGCTTTCAGCAGAGGAAATGGCCCTGAGCCTCACCCGAGCAGTGGCGGGCGGGGATGAACAGGTGGCAATGAAGTGTGCCATCTGGCTGGCAGAGCAACGGGTGCCCCTGAGTGTGCAACTGAAGCCTGAGGTCTCCCCAACGCAGGACATCAGGTGAGGAGTGCATGGCTGGCCTGAACCCAAGGGACAGCAGGACAGGATATTCTTGCCTGTAGAACAGTTCTTCCTAATGGCACGTTCTGGCTTCAGGAGGCCTGGCTTCTAACCCTAGTTATGTCATTAATCAACTGTGAAATACAGAGCAGGTCACTTCACCTCTCAGTGTGTCCTCATTTTAAAAATCAGACCGTAACAGTAGCTATCTCATAGGGTTGTTAGGAGGTGTACTGTATTAGGATGTTAGGCCTTATACAACAGAAGAAAACGGAACAGTGACGTAAACAAATTTGATGGCAGGGAGTCCAGATAGGGAGGTTCTGCTCCCGACAGTCCTCAGAGGCTCATATTGTTTCTCTCACCATTCTGCCATTCATTCCCAGATTCCTCATGGTGCAAAATGGCCATTCCAGCTCCATCCAGCCATCACATCACAGGAGGAAGGGAAGAAAGACACCCCTCCACACTCTTCTAAAGAGCATAGCTCAAAAATTGTACACACTTCTTCCGTTAATTCCTGTGGACCAGAACTGATTCCCACAGCTACAGTTCAGCTTGAGGGGAGACTGTATAGCCAAGATATTCAGCTAGAATTCAGGGGTTCGCTTGGTAAGGGAAGGGAAGAGAATGGATACTGTCGGTCTGTGCTCCAGGAGACTTAAACTCAATGCTGAAACACTTTGCACAATGCCTGGCGTGTTATGCACTCAATAATAAACATTAGTGTCTATCGTTATTTTTTGACTGCTTTTTCATTACTGGATAGTAAGGCAATAGTTTTATGGTTTCTGATTTTTGGTTCTCTTGGTGGGTCCCATTTGGTTTTTCTTAAAACAGTTTTATTTATTTATTTATCCTTACAGTTCGACCATTTAAAGTATACAGTTCAATGGCTTTTAGTATATTCAAGGTTGTGCAACCATTGCCACAATCAATTTTAGAACATTTTCATCATCCTGTAAAGAAACCTGGTACTCATTAGCAGCCAGTCCTCATCTCTCTACCTTTTCCCTAACTCCCCAACCTTAGGCAACCACTAATCTACTTTTTATCTCTAGGGATCTACCTTCTGGAAATTCCATATAAGTTGAATCATGCAATATGTGGCCTTTTGTATCTGGCTTCTTTCACTTAGGATCGTTTTCGAGATTCATCCATGTTGTAGCATGTCTAACAACTTCATTCCCCTTTTTTTTTTTGACATGGGGTCTCTTGTCTAGGTTGAAGTGCAGTGGTGCCATCATCGCTCACTACAGCCTCAACTTCCTGGATTCAAGCAGTCCTCCTGCCTTGGCCTCCCAGGTAGCTGGGACTACTGGCATGTACCACCACACCCGGCTAATTTTTTTTTTCTTTGAGATGGGAGTCTCACTCTGTCCCCCAGGCTGGAGTGCAGTGGCGCGATCTCAGCTCACTGCAAGCTCCACCTCCCAGGTTCACGCCATTCTCCTGCCTCAGCTTCCCGAGTAGCTGGGACTACAGGCGCCCGCCACCACGCCCAGCTAATTTTTTGTATTTTTAGTAGAGACGGGGTTTCGCCGTGTTAACCAGGATGGTCTCCATCTCCTGACCTCGTGATCCGCCCGCCTATGCCTCCCAATGTGCTGGGACTACAGGCGTGAGCCACCACACCCAGCCACACCTGGCTAATTTTTAGAAAGTCTGTAGAGATAAGGTCTTGCTTTGTTGTCTGGGCTGGTCTTGAACTTCTGGCTTAAGCAGTCTTCCCACCTCAGCCTCTCAAAGTGCTGGGATTACAGGTGTGAGCCACCATGCCCAACCAGAACTTTATTCCTTTTTATTGCCAAATAATAATCTATTGTATAGACATATCTCATTATCTTTACTCATTAAATCAGTTGATGGACATTTGGGTGTTTCTATTTTTTGGCTATTATAAACAATGCTGCCGTGAACATTTGTGTCCAACTTTTTGTGTGGACACGTTTTCATTTCTCTTGGATACACACTAGCAGTGGAATTGCTGGGTCATACAGTAACTCTATGTTACTTTTTGAAGAAATGCCAGACAGTTTTCCAAAGTGGCTGCACCATTTTACATTCCCACCAGCATATATGAGGGTTCTAGTTTCTCCACATCATCTCTAATACTTGTTGTTGTTTATCTTTTTGATTATAGCCATCCTAGTAAGTTTGAAGAGGTATCTCACTGTGGTTTTGATTTGCAATTTCCTAACCATTTGATGACAAATGATGTTAAGCATCTTTTCATGCACATATTTTCTTTGGAGGTTTGCCTATTCAGGTCTTTTGCCCATTTTAAAATTGGGTTTATCTTTTTTTTTTTTTGAGATGGAGTCTCGCTCTGTCACCCAAGCAGGAGTGCAATGGTGCAATCTCGGCTCACTGCAACCTCCGCCTCCCAGGTTCAAGTGATTCTCCTGCCCCAGCCTCCTGAGTAGCTGGATTACAGGTGCCCACCACTACACTGGCTAATTTTTGTATTTTTAGTAGAGACGGGTCTTACCATGTTGGCCAGGCTGGTCTTGAACTCCTGACCTCAGGTGATCCACCCACCTTGGCCTTTCCAAAGTGTTGGGATTACAGGCATGAGCCACTGCACCCGGCTGGGTTTATGTTTTTATATTGAGTTGTAGGAGTACTTTATTCATTTTAGCTAGAAGTACTTTATTCATTTTAGCTTATCAGCTACATGATTTGCAAAAATTTTCTCTCATTCTGTGGATTGTCTTCTCACTTTGTTGATGGTATCCTTTGAACCACAAAAGTTTTAAATTTTGATGATGTCCAGTTAGTCTATGTTTTATTTTGTTGTTTGTGCTTTTGGTGTCATATCTAAGAAATCGTTGCCTCATCCAAGGTCATGAAGATTTACCTCTATATTTTCTTCTAAAGATTTTATGGTTTTAGCTCTTACATTTAGGTCTTTGGTCCATTTTGATTTAATTTTTATATAAGGTGTGAGGTAAGGGTCCAGCTTCATTCTTTTGCACGTGGATATTGAGTTGTGCCGGCACTATTTGTTAAGGCTGTTTTCCTCTGTTTAATCATCTTAACCCTTTTTGGAAATTAATTGACCATAAATGTGAGTGCTTATTTCTGGACTCTCATTTCTATACCATTGAACTATAATATATATCTGCCCTTACGCCAGTACCACACTAATTACTATAGCTTCATAGTATTTGAAATCAGGAAATACAAGTTCTCCAACTTTTGTTCTTTTTCAATATTGTTTTGGTTATTGCAAGTCTCTTGAATTTCCATATAAATTTTACGATCAGCTTGTCTGTTTCTGCAAAAAAAAAACAACAACAACTGGGAATTTTGGTAGGGATTTCATTGAATCTGTAGATCATTGGCCACTTGATTTTAAACAAAATATTGAGATATCTACTTCTTGAAATGATTGCTTGAGACAGTACCTGTGTACTCCTTGCTATGAAAAATGAGGAAGTTAACATACTCATCTTCCACCTTTCCTTTTCCTTACTTTTTTTGTTGAAGTATCATTGTGGACACTTTCCCAGTTGACTTCCACTTGATCCCCTGAATTAACTAACTGGCACTGGCGTTTCCTTTGTAAAATGTACAATGTCAGCCACCATCTTGCTACTAAAGTGTGGCCTGTGGACCACAACATGGGGGGAATCTCAGGTCTCACCTCAGACTTGCTGGGTCAGAACCTGAGTTTTGAGAGGCTCTGGGCAACCGGCACCTCTCAGACCTGCTGTTGGGTTCTCATCGATGGACCCGATGCTTCCTAGCAAATGATACCTGTTGTATGTGTTATTGGTAATAACATAGTTTACTTAGCTATTACATTAATTAATAAAACATGAGCGCTGAAAGAGTTGTTTCTGTGAAAATAAGCTGATTGCTTTAAAAAGATAAGAGACAAATCACCAAAAAAAAAAAAAAAAAAGATTAACACTTTTGGGTGAGACAGTAGTAAGGAAATACAGTAAAAATCCAGAAGGGCTCTGTGCTCTGATGCTTCAGGAGTGTGTCTAAGTTCTTGCTCGCTTTAAAGAAGCTGCTACTAGAAATTATAGATCATGATTATCGATGTGGTTCATACAAAAAAAAAAAAGAAAAATCCCTGGGAAACTCCAATGAGCAGGTATAAACTCACGCTGGGCATGGCGGCTCAGCACTTTGGAAGGCTCAGGCAGGAGAATGGCTTGAACTCGAGTTTAAGACCAGCCTGGGCAACATAGTGAGACCTTGTCTCTGCAAAAAATAAAAAAAATTAGCCAGGCTGGGTGGCACACACCTGTAGTCCCAGCTATTTGAGAGGCTGAGATGAGAGGATTATTAGACCCTGGGTGGTTGAGGTTGCAGTGAGCCATGATCATGCCTGAGTGACAAGGTGAAACCCTGTCTCAAAGAAAGAAAGAGAGAAAAGCCATTGGCTGTACACCTAGAGACTGGCCAGTGAATATGCATTTATAGTATGTAAGTTAAAATTAAGTGTTTAAGCTTTGTCTGCAGCTGTTTTTGTGATTCTCTGCTGTTCACCAGCGATCCTGATGTCACATTGGATGAGAGAGCTCCAGCTGTATTTTTTTGTTGATAGTGTTAAGATTATAGCTTTAAAAAATTTTGTTTTCTAACATAATTAAGGCCTTTATGCTTTGCCTCTAGGTTGATTCTAAAAGTGTAACACTACTAGAAAGGATTTATAGTATTTTGATTATGGAAATATTATTCACTATAGAATAACTAGTGCAGTTGAAACCATATGCACTTTTATGTTTCAAAACCCTTATTGCTGGAAGAACATTTTGGGGTTAAGATCCAGTCCTTTTCATTTTTTACTTTTCTTCTATTCTCCTGTATCAGACTCATCTATTTTTGTTTTTCAAGAACTTTTCACGTGGAAAATGTGGTAAACTTTTAGAGTCTTTGCATGTTTAAAAATTTCTATATTTTGCTCTGTCAATTCATTGATAGTTGACTGGGTATTCAAATTGTTTACCTGAAGAATTTTGAGAGCATTTTCTGGACTGCTTTTAAATAAATTTCAGATATTATTTTATCCTTAAATACTTTAGTATGTGTCTTCAAAAAATTAGGACTTGGCGGGGCACGATGGATGATGCTTGTAATCCTAGCACTTTGGGAGGCTGAGGCAGGTGGACTGCTTGAACCCATGAGTTCAAAACCAGCCTGGGCAACATAGTGAAACCTTGTCTCTACAAAACATTAGCTAGGCATGGTGGTGCGCCCATCTAGTCCCAGCTACCCAGGAGGCTGAGGTGGGAGGGTCACCTCAGTCCAGGAGATTGAAGCTGCAGTGAGCCAAGATCATGCCACTACACTCCATCCTGGGTGACAGAAGTGAGACCCTGTCTCAAAAAAAACAAAAACAAACAAAACCCCTCAATACTATTATCACACCTTAGAAAAGGAATAAGAATTCCTTAAAATCCGCTAATGCCCTGTTTATATTCACATTTTCCTATTTCATTAGTGCTTTTTACAATTGGTTTCTTCAAATCAGGAGCCAAACAAGATCTACATGTAGCATTTCTTACTATGTCTTAAGTCCCTTTTACTCTCCTCTATTTTTATGCCACTAGTTTTTTTTTTAAGAAACCTGGTCTTTTGACCTCTAGAATTTTCCCCATATTCTGGATCTATCCATTACCTCTTCATGGTATGTATTAGACCACTCTAGCATTGCTACAAAGAAATATCTGAGACTGGGTAATTTGTAAAGAAAAGAGGTTTAATTGACTCAGTTCTGCAGGTGGTGTAGGAAGCATGGTCCTGACATTTGCTTGGCTTCTGGGGAGGCCTCAGTGAACTTTTACTGAAGCGGGAGCAGGCACTTCACATGGTGAGAGAGGGAGCAAGAGAGAGAGTTGGTGGGGAGGTGCCACACTTTACAACAGCCAGATCTCACGAGGACTCACTATGGCGAGAAGTCACTACAGTGAGCGCAGCACCAGGCTGTGAGGGAGCTGCCCCTATGACCCAAACACCTCCCACCAGGCCTCACCTTCAACACTGAGGATTACAGTTCAAGGTAAGATTTGGGCAGGGACAAATACCCAGACTATCATGGTGTCATTTACTATCTCCCGTTTTTCCTGTAACTGGTAGTTAGAGATAAAGTTTCAATTAGTCAGCAGTCACTTTTTTTTTTTTTTTTTTTGAGACAGAGTTTCACTCTGTTGCCCAGGCTGGAGTGCGGTGGCGCAATCTTGGCTCACTGCACGGTCCGCCTCCCGGGTTCACACCATTCTCCTGCCTCAATCTCCTGAGTAGCTGGGACTACAGGCGCCCGCCACCGTGCCTGGCTAATTTTTTTTTTTGTATTTTTAGTAGAGACGGGTTTTCACCGTGTTAGCCAGGATGGTCTCGATCTCCTGACCTCGTGATCCACCCACCTCGGCCTCCCAAAGTGCTGGGATTCAGCAGTCACTTTTAATGTGCAGGAACTCTTCCTCATTTTTTGGTTGCTTCATGCCTTTCCTTGCTTTCTGAATGCAGTGTTTTCCCAAATCTCTCTGAAGGTACTAGTTAGACTTCACTGTTGCTTATTGTTCCATACCCTAAATGATCTCTGTTTCCTTTGGGGTCGGTTCTGTTTTTTCATCTTTTCATGCTTTTGATTTTCCAAACATGTTGGAGGATCCTCAAGAAAGTTAAAACCACTTTCTCTGGAATAATACCATGTAGATTTAAATCCTGCCTCTGGCTGAACACAGTGGCTTACTCCTGTAATCCCACTTCGGGAGGCCAAGGCAGGAGGATCACTTGAGGCCAAGAGTTCAAGACCAGCTTTGGCAACATAGTGAGACCCTGTCTCTACAAAAACTTAAAAAATTAGCCAGGCATGGTGGCATGAGCCTGTGGTCCCAGCTACTTGGGAGGCTGAGATGGGAAGAGCCCAGGAGGTTGATACTGCAGTGAGCCAAGGTAGCACTACTGCACTCCAGCCTGGGCCACAGAAAGAGAGCCTGTGTCTTAAAATTAAATCAAGACATACAAATGAATCCTGCCTCTAACAGTTATTAGTTGCTTAGTTTGGCAGAGTCACTGGAACCTATCTGTGCCTCACATTTTTATCTGTAAAACAGGGATACAGCAGTACCTGTCTGATGGGTTGGTTGAGAGGATTAAATGAGTTAATACACATGAAGTGCATTAAATAGTCTTAGCACGTAGTTAACAACAACTTCTGGTGGTTTCACTAAGGAGCAGGGGAGAGAAGACAGAAGAGGTTGGAGAGGTCAGGGAGGTGCCAGATCATGGAGGCCCTCGTGTGCTGCCACGAGTTGATTCTAAGAGTAGCGTGGAGCCATTGGAGGGGCCTAACTGGTGGGTTCTAATAAAGGAAGAAGCATGGGTGGGGCCTACCCCAGACTGGGGTTTGTGTGTGTGTGTGTGTGTGTGTGTGTGCATGGCCATGTGCCTGTGTGCAAATATGTACATGTCTGTAGCCGGTGGCTGAGGCTGGACCCCTGGCCAGAGCCCATGCTGAGCCCCTGCTGTTCTCTGCAGGCTGTGGGTGAGCGTGGAGGATGCTCAGATGCACACCGTCACCATCTGGCTCACAGTGCGCCCTGATATGACAGTGGCGTCTCTCAAGGACATGGTGAGTGAGGAGGCGGAGGGCGACACTGGGGTGAAGGCTCTCCCTTTCACTCCTGCTTCCTCTCTCTCCTCTGGCCCTCCCTTCCCACTCTCCCTCTCTTTGCCCCCACCAGGTTTTTCTGGACTATGGCTTCCCACCAGTCTTGCAGCAGTGGGTGATTGGGCAGCGGCTGGCACGAGACCAGGAGACCCTGCACTCCCATGGGGTGCGGCAGAATGGGGACAGTGCCTACCTCTATCTGCTGTCAGCCCGCAACACCTCCCTCAACCCTCAGGAGCTGCAGCGGGAGCGGCAGCTGCGGATGCTGGAAGGTGAGGCTCTGCCCTGAGCACCGCCGGACCCAGCGGGGGCCCTGGACTCACTTGAGGGCATAGGGCAAGCAGGGGCAGAGCCCCTGGGTTTTTAGTCAGGGACTCACCCAGAGGACCCTATCCAAGTGGGGAAGAGAGGACCTAAGACACATGGGAGGGAGCATTTCAGGGACCCATCATGAGAACAGCTGGCACGGGGAGGGGTGGACTCCGTCCAGGCTCCGGCATTCCCAGCTGTGTGACCTTGGGCAAGGTTGCTCCTATCTGCTGCCCAGTTTGCTAAAATCATAAATTGGGTATGACAGTGATCGTGATAACTAGTGTTTATTCTTAATTTTTAACTTCTGAAATGTTTCAGACCTACAGAAAAGTTGCTAAATTTTACAAAGTAGTACATAAAGAATTCCCATGTACCTTTCATGTGGGTTTTACCACATGTGCTTTCTTTTTTTTTTTGAGACGGAGTCTCGCTCTGTCGCCCAGGCTGGAGTGCAGTGGCACAATCTCGGCTCACTGCAAGCTCCGACTCCCGGGTTCACGCCATTCTCCTGCCTCAGCCTCCGGAGTAGCTGGGACTACAGGCGCCCGCCACCACGCCCGGCTAATTTTTTATATTTTTAGTAGAGACGGGGTTTCACCGTGTTAGCCAGGATGGTCTCGATCTCCTGACTTTGTGATCCGCCCGCCTCGGCCTCCCAAAGTGCTGGGATTACAGGCGTGAGCCACCACGCCCAACCCACATTTGCTTTCTTTTATCATTCTCTTTCTATATAAAATTATTTTTTTTCTGAACCATTTTGAGAGTAAGTTGCAGACATGATGTCTCTTTCCCCTAAATAATTCAGTGTGCATTTCCTTGAAAAGAAAGGTCATTTTCTTACATTACTGGGTATAACAATCCAACTCAGGAAACTAACGCTGATACAGTACTGGTATCCAGTCTACAGATCTTACTCAGATTTTACCAGTTGTCCCACTATTGTCATTTATAGCAAAAGACTTGGCATTCTGCTGTCATGTCTCAGTCCCTTTCAAAGAGTCCAGGCCAGTTTCTTTTTTTTGGCGGGGGTTGGGGGCTGATGTTTCCTCCGGAGTGGATCAAGTCACTGTTTTGGCAGGACCGCCTCAGCGGTGCTCTTGGGTCCCTCTTGGTGCATCCTTCAGGAGGCACGGAAGGGCTGGTGTTGTGCTGGGTTTTGAAGCTCAAAGGACATAGAAGCATTTATCGGTGGAATAGGGACCCTGACCCTGGGGGAGCCAGGATGCCCACTTGGCCAGATGGAAGCTGGAGGTACCCCCAGGGAGGAGGGAGAGGATAGGGGGAGGGTCTGCCTGGCTGGCTCAGGGAGACCCACCCCCATGGGTGTGGACCAAGTGGGCCGCGTGGAACCACCACCCTTTAACCCTCCTCCACAGATCTGGGCTTCAAGGACCTCACGCTGCAGCCGCGGGGCCCTCTGGAGCCAGGCCCCCCAAAGCCCGGGGTCCCCCAGGAACCCGGACGGGGGCAGCCAGATGCAGTGCCTGAGCCCCCACCGGTAAGCTGTCCTTGGCCTCAGTATCCTCTTCTGTGCCCCTCCCTTGCCTCACCCTGCCCAGTCGGGCTCACAGCACCCTCTGCTCCCAGGTGGGCTGGCAGTGCCCCGGGTGCACCTTCATCAACAAGCCCACGCGGCCTGGCTGTGAGATGTGCTGCCGGGCGCGCCCCGAGGCCTACCAGGTCCCCGCCTCATACCAGCCCGACGAGGAGGAGCGAGCGCGCCTGGCGGGCGAGGAGGAGGCGCTGCGTCAGTACCAGCAGGTGGGCGGGAAAGTCCCTGGACAGACACCTGCAGACCGCACGGGGGAGGTGTAGGCCAGGAAGGGAGACACCTGCGCACTGCCGCGCCTCTCCGTTACTGCCTTGCCCCTCCCAACCATGCTGCTGGCAGTGACCCTGCACCTGGCTGTGACCCTGCACCTGGCTGTGACCTGCCCTCTCTCAAAGGTCACCCTGTGGCTGAGACCCGCTCCCTGGCTGTGGCGCACATCCAGGTTCACATGCCCCACTCCCACGTGGGCTGTGGCTCCATCCCCAGCTTTGACACACCACACGAGTATGGCTGGCCATGACCCCAGCACCCTAGCCATGACCCCAGCACCCTAGCCATGACCACACCTCAGCTCGGACCTCACCCCCACCCGTCTGTGACCTAAGCCTGCTCCACCTCGCCGTGACCTCACCCTGGACTCTCCTACTCCTGACCTCTTCCCTCTCGGGCTGGGCCCACCCCTGACTTCCTGAGAGCCTGGCCTGGACCCTCGCTGCGCCCTAGGGGGATGACCCCCGACCCCGGTCCTACGCCTTAGCCCTACCCCGCCCCCATCGTGACACACGCACTAATGACACAGACATTGATCCCCGAGTGCTCCCCATTCTGATCTCACCCCTGGCCCCACCTGCATTCCCCTTGGACCCGGTGCTGCCCCTGGCCACCCCACTCCTGTTCCCGTCTCAGCTCCTCGGCTTCGTCACTTCCCCACCCCTGACGTTGAGTGGCTCCACCAGCCCTGGCCCGGGCCCTGCCCTGCTACCTGACTCACCACTCAGACCCCGGCCCCCTTCCTTACCTTGCTGCCATTGCTGTCTCACCTGGCGCCTTCCGTGGCTACCTGGCCGGCCTCCCCTCCCTTGGCTTCCCCACCTCCACCTGGCCTCACTCCCAGCCCCGCCCCTCCCAACCTGCCTGCTCCTGCCCATCCCCCACCCCCCACCCCCCATCCCCCAGCCCCACCCCCATCCCCCACCCCCGTCCCCCATCCCCCATCCCTACTGGCTCCCAGCTTTGCCTGTGGCTGGTCTGACCCAGCCCTGACCACGCCCCCTGGCCCTTCCCCCTTCGGGGTCTGACCCGCCCCCGAGGCCCTGACCCGCCCCGTGGCCCCGCCCCGTGTGCCCAGCGGAAGCAGCAGCAGCAGGAGGGGAACTACCTGCAGCACGTCCAGCTGGACCAGAGGAGCCTGGTGCTGAACACGGAGCCCGCCGAGTGCCCCGTGTGCTACTCGGTGCTGGCGCCCGGCGAGGCCGTGGTGCTGCGTGAGTGTCTGCACACCTTCTGCAGGTGCGGCCCCCAGTCCCACCCCCGGCAATGCAGCTTAATCAAAGCCGCCAATTACGCAGGGCTGGACGTGGGTGGGGCCCTGTGCTCTGATACCTCATTGGACGCCCGCGAAAACCTACGAGGTAGGCTCCGTCTCCCCATGTTGCGGACGAGGAACCTGAGGGAAAGAGAGGCCCAGCGCCTTACCCCAGGCCCACGGCTCATGAGAGAAGCAGCCTAGACGTGAGCGCAGGCGTGGGGGGAGACTCCCTTCCCCTCTACCTTTCGCCGCCCGGGCTCCTGCAGCCACGCTGCTCTCAGCCTCGCTGTGGGCATCTGCCAGTTTCTGAGTCTCCTGTCATGGCCCCCCCACCCCTGAATGTGGGGAACACAGACCCGCTCACCACAGCGGACCCTTGTGGAGCCGCCCCTGGGTGACAGGCTCCGTGCCTGCCTCCTGCAGCTTACATTCCAGCAGAGAGGCTGATGAGAATCGGATAATCGCTGGTTGATGTCTTTGTGAATTGTGTCAAATGCTACATACAGTACATTAAGAGACAACAGGAGTCCTTCCCAGAGAGGGTGGTCTGGAAGCTTCCAAGGAGGTAGCCCCAGAGCAGGGACCGGAAGGCCTGCTGTAGGTGTGGGGTGTGGGCCTGGCCTGTTGGAGGAGACTGAGGAGGTCTCTTGGTGGCTGGAGCAGAGGGATGAAGGGGGTAATCAGAGCAGGATAGAGAGGTGTTGGGTACGTGAGCAGCAGTGAGGAGTTGGGATTTGTTCTGGGTAGGATGGGAGTCACTGGGGAGACATGGCTGCTGTTCTGAGATAGACTCTAGGGGCCAGATGGATGCAGGGAGCCCAGCGAGGAGGCTCCTGGAGTCACCCAGGTGGGGGATGTGGGGCCTGGACCAGAGAATCAGAGCGGCAGTATGGAGGCAGGGTGGAGGCCTTGGTGATGGGTTGGTGAGAGGGATGGGAAGGAAGGAGATATTGAGGAGAAGTCCACCTGGGGTGACTGAGTGAGGCCCCTGGGGTCAGGCCTTGCCATGTGAGGGATGGAGTCCCCAGTGAAGGGGGTTCCTATGATCCTAACTCTTTTCCCCTCCCCTCCCCTAGGGAGTGCCTGCAGGGCACCATCCGCAACAGCCAGGAGGCGGAGGTCTCCTGCCCCTTCATTGACAACACCTACTCGTGCTCGGGCAAGCTGCTGGAGAGGGAGATCAAGGCGGTAAGGCCTCAGGGTGGGAGACATACCCCAAGTCCCAACTCCTAAGGAACTGGGCCCTGAGCAGGCAGCAGACATCTTTCTTTTCTTTCTTTTTTTTTTTTGGAGATGGGGTCTCACTATGTTGTCCAAGCTGGTCTCAAACTCCTGGGCTTAAGCGATCATTCATCCTCAGCCCCCCAGACATTTTTCAAGAGCTTTGTCCATGTGGGGTGTTGAGACCCCAAGCAGAAAAAGAATTGAGGGGAGTAGCTAGTCAAGAAACCACATCTATGAAGGAAGGACAGCAGAGTTGTTAAGAATCAGGGACTCGGCTGGGCGTGGCAGCTCACACCTGTAATCCCAGCACTTTGGGAGGATGAAGTGGGCAGATTGCTTGAACCCATGAGTTCCAGACCAACCTGGGCAACATGGCAAAAAATATTCAAAAAATAGCCAGGCGCGGGGGCATGCGCCTGTAGTCCTAGCTACTTGGGTGGGGTCTGGGATGAGTGGGCTGAGGTGGGAGGATTGCTTGAGCCTAGGAAGTAAGGTTGCAGTGAGCTGTGATTGTGCCACTGCACTCCAGCCTGGGCAACAGAGTGAGACCTTGCCTCAAAAAAAGAAAAAAAAAATTAGTCAGGGAACTCTGGAGCCTGGTGGCCTGGGTGTGTGACCACAAGTCAGATATTTAACCTCTCTATGCCTCTATCTCATCTCTGTTAGAGTCAGAGTTACAGCTTCTATTTCCAGGATTGCAAAGATTACAGTAGAGGATATGTGTATAGAATTCATAGTAGTACATCCAGGCGCAGTGGCTCATTCCTGTAATCCCAGCGCTTTGGGAGGCCAAGGCGGGTGGATCACCTGAGGTCGGGAATTCGAGATCAGCCTGACTAACATGGAGAAACCCCATCTCTACTAAAAATAGAAAATTAGCCGGGTGTGGTGGCGCATGCCTGTAATCCCAGCTACTCAGGAGGCTGAGGCAGGGGAATCGCTTGAACCCCGGAGGCGGAGGTTGTGGTGAACTGAGATCGCGCCATTGCACTCCAGCCTGGGCAACCAGAGCGAAACTCCGTCTGAAAATATATATATATATATTTAGAGTAGTGCTTGTCACATAGTAAGCCTTTGTTGTTGTTAGCGCTTACTGTGTAACAAATCACTGCAGGCTCAAAACAACAGTCATTTATTCAGCTCATAAATCTGCAAGTTAGGACAGTTGGCCCTCTGTATCTGTGGGTACCACACTGGAGAATTCAGCAACGGTGGATAGAACATATTCTTACAAAAAAAATTACAATAAAAAACAAATTTAAAAAACAATACAGCATAAACTATTTGTATAACATTTATGTTATATTAGGTATTATAAATAATCTACAGATGATTTAAAGTGTATGGGAGGATGTTGGTAGGTTGTATGCAAATACTGCACTATTTTATATAAGGGGTTTGAGCATCCATGGATTTGGGTATCTGCAGGGGTCTTGGAACCAATTCTCTGGATACCGAGGGATGACTATAATTTGGGCTGGACTTACCTGGATGGTTCTTCTGGTCTGGGCAGGGCCTCGCTGATTTCACCTGGGCCTGGCTGGTGGGTCAGCCGCGGTGGCCTGGTTTATAATGGTCTCATCTGTGATGACTGGGATGACTGGGGCCTCCTTCCACTTCAATGTCTCACCCACCAGCAGGCTGCCCGGGCCTTCTCATGTCATGGTGGTCTCAAGGTTCCAAGAGCAGCCATGGGGAGCCCCAGTGCATGTGTACTTTCTAAGTCTGCTCATTTCTCACTTGACACTGTCCCATTGGCCAAAGCAAGTCCCATGCTCAAGCACAGAGTCCATTGGGAAGGGACCACCCAAAAGTGTGGAATCGGGGAGACAGAAACAAATTGGAGTCACCACTCCGCCAGTCTGTCACAGCGTTATGTGTGTCTGCATACGTGTGTGCTTGCCGCTGGCGCTCTTCATGAATTCGTTAGCAGGTTCTCTGCCTGGCTGCTGGTGATCTCGAGCAAGTTGTTTCCCTTCTGTGGGACTCCATTTCCTTATCTGAAAAGTGGACAGTTGGGCTTGATTCATGGTTTTCAAACTGCTGGGAAATGACCTTCCCAGACTTGGGCACTGTGGGTTCCCAGGCCAAAACATGGCAGCCGAGGCCCAAATGGGAGATCCCCACAAAACACATACACAGACCTCCTCTTTATTTCTGTCCCCCCTGCCTCTCTCCTATGCCCCTATTTCTCCTGAGAATGCTCCCAACTTCACCAAGTGTTTATGGAGCCCAAGAGGTTCTGCCCCTGGGGAAAAGGGGGAGGCAGAAGAGGTAGAACTTTGGGAGTTCACAGCTCTGATATCAGGAGCAGCCCCATTTTTCTCTGTTGTCTCTGGGTGGTTGCTGAGGCTCCTTCGCTCTGGCCTGGAGAGACCTCATGACCAGTCATTCCATATGTCCCCAGCACCCATAGCCATTTGCTTAGAGGTTTCCCTGTGGAGTCCACCCCAGCCAAGGGGCATTATGCTGGGGCCAGGTTCATGCCAAAGGGCTGCATGAACTTCCCTGGAGCCCACTGGAGTTGATGTGAGTCTCAGAAAATGGTCAAGTGTGACAGAGAGAAGGAGGCAGGGATCAGCCAAGTAATGTAGTGGAGGTTGTTTTTACAAAAACAGAAAAATATGCCTCACCACATAGAACCAGAGCAGAAATCAGAGAGAAAATCACCCACAAACCCAGGAAATCCTCCAATTGCATTTTATCTTATTTCCTTCAGTATCTCTGGGCAAATTTTTTTTTTTTTTCCTTTTTGAGATGAAGTCTCACTCTGTCATCCAGGCTGGAGTGCAATGGCGCGATCTCAGCCCACTGCAAGCTCCGCCTCCCGGGTTCACGCCATTCTCCTGCCTCAGCCTCCCAAGTAGCTGGGACTAGAGGCGCACACCGCCATGCCCAGCTAATTTTTGTATTTTCAGTACAGACGAGTTTTCACCATGTTGGCCAGGCTGGTCTTGAACTCCTGACCTCAGGTGATCCACCCACCTCGGCCTCCCAAAGTGCTAGGATTACAGGCGTGAGCCACCGTGCCCAGCCAGATATGATTTTTTAAGTCAACTTTACTTAAGTATACTTTGCACACAATAAAATGTACTCATTGTAAGTATGCAGTCAGGTAAATTTTAACAAATGTAACTCTCGTAACCACCAACCACTGTTACATATAACATAGGCATGATTTCTGCCTCATTGTAACCAGCATGGATACAATCGCTTTAGCTTTTGTTATTTTGCTATAGAATTTTTCTAAAGATTATTACAAATCTCAATAGCACATATACTGTTTATACCTCTTAGTTCTAGTTTCTCAGTTTGTAATACTCCTTCAAGGAATGTTTTGCATGGTGTATTCTTTTTTTTTTTTTTTTTTGAGACGAAGTCTCACTCTGTTGCCTAAGCTGGAGTACATTGGTGTGATCTTGGCTCACTGCAACCTCCACCTCCCGGGTTCAAACGATTCTCCTGCCTCAGCCTCCCGAGTAGCTGGGACTACAGGCAGATGCCACCACACCCAGCTAATTTTTGTATTTTTAGTAGAGATGGGGTTTCACTATGTTGGCCAAGCTAGTCTTAAACTCCTGACCTCGTGATGCGCCCGCCTCGGCCTCCCAGAGTGTTCAGATTACAGGCGTGATCCATCATTCCTGGCTGGTGCATCTTATATATTATTTTCTTGGGATAAAGTTAAAGAAGTGGGATGGGTACCAAAGGGTCAGAAAAGTTTGGGATGGTTGAAACGTTATTGCCACATTGCTTTCTCAGTGCTACGTACTAGCTTACTAGTTTGTTTAATTTTTATTTTTTATTTTTGCGGGTACATAGTTGGTGTATATATTTCTGGGGTACATGAAATACTTTGATACAGGCATGCAATGCGTAATAATCACATCATGGAGAATGGGGAATCCATCCCCTCAAGCATTTATCCTTTGTGTTACAGACAATCCAGTTAACCTCTCTTAGTTATTATAAAATGTACAATTAAATTATTGGCTACAGTCTGTTGTGCTATCAAATACTAGGTCTTACTCTATTTTTTTGTACCAATTTGCCATCCCCACTCCCCTGCCACGCCTCACTACCCTTTGCAGCCTCTGGTAAGCATCCTTTTACTGTCTGTCCTCATTAGTTCAGTTGTTTCGATTTTTAGCACCTGCAAATAAGTGAGAACATGTAATGTTTGTTTGTCTGTGCCTGGCTTATTTCATTTAACATAATGACCTCCAGTTCTTCCATGTTGCTGTAAATGGCAGGATTGCATTCTTTTTTGTGGCCGAATAGTACTCCATTGTATATATGTGCCACGTTTTCTTTATAGGATACTAGTTTAATCATGTCTTTCCCAACATTGCTTATTATTTATGTTCTTTTCTTTATTGTGAGAAAATAGACATAACATTTACCATTTTAACCAGTTTTTAGTATACAGTTCAGTGGCATTAAGTACATTCACACTGTTGTGCAACCATCACCACCATCCACCTCCAGAACTTTTAGAAATTCCCCCCACTTTCTTTCACTTTCTTTTTACTTTTCTTTTCCTTTTTTTTTTTTTTTTTTTTTTTTTTTTAGCTAGGATTTCATTCTGTCACCCAGGTTGGAGTGCAGTGCATCAGTCATGGCTCACTGCATCCTTGACCTTCTGGGCTCAAGCGATCCTCACAACCCAGCCTCCCAAGCAGCTGGGACTACAGGTGTGAGCACCACACCTGGTTATTTTATTTTTTAAAAAAATTTTTTGGTAGAGATGAGGTCTCACTGTATTTCTCAGGCTGGTCTGAAACTCTTGGCCTCAAGGAATCCTCCTGCCTTGACTGACCTCCCAAAGTGCTGGGATTACAAGTGTAAGCCACCACACCTGGCCTAAAATCCACTCTTTGAATGGAGTTTTTCAACACTATGAGGATTACATGAAGAAAAGAGCCTGGGGCTGGGTTGGAGTTTCTGGGCTGGGGGCTTTCTGGAGGGTATTTAGTGGTCAAGGGTCATATGTCAGGTGTTCTGAATCCTGAGCAGCAAGGACATGGTGTGTTGGCAGCTCCTGACCCCTGAGGATTACCAGCGATTTCTAGACCTGGGCATCTCCATTGCTGAAAACCGCAGTGCCTTCAGCTACCATTGCAAGACCCCAGATTGCAAGGGATGGTGCTTCTTTGAGGATGATGTCAATGAGTTCACCTGCCCTGTGTGTTTCCACGTCAACTGCCTGCTCTGCAAGGTGGGGCCTGCAGGGACTCCCCCCACCTAGTCACTGTCATCTTGCCTGGAGCTCACCACACTGCAGTGCGTGTTCTCCTGGGAAGGGAGCTGTGACACTGGCCTGCTGGTCATGACTTAGAGCTACATGTCAGTGGGAGAGTGTGGCTTGAGCCTGAACTGAGCCCTGGCCCCACAGACGGAGTCCCAGCCCCAGCCCCAGATGGAGCCTCAAACCTAGGCAGCCCTGGTTCACAATGGAGCCCCGACCCTGGGCCAGTCTGACCCCAGTCACAGACTGAATCCCAGTCCCACATTGAGCCCTGATCCCATCCAAGTCCATAGACTTGGCCTCTGACCAAACCTGACCCTGCACTTGTCACTTAAGGTGGTCCCATATTCAGCTCAGACCCTGAACCGAGCTCTGACCCTGGCTTCTGACTGAATCTGTGACAGACTAAGGCCTGACCCTGGCCCTATACCACGTCTCCACCCGTGTCCTCAACTGAGTGCTGACCCCAAACCTAGACAGCCCTACCTGATCCTTCCCCCAGGCCTGTCCCCGCCGCTTCATCTCAAAAGTTGAAGGTGAGGAGCCGGTAAACAGGTCTGGAGCCTGGTCTCAGACTCAGCCTGAGCAAGCTCAGTCTGGGGTCATTGGGCCTGTAACCCCGGGCAGGCCCTTGTTAGGGATGCAGGGTCTCACCCTAGGGGTATAAGGGATTTCTGTGCCCATCAGAACTTAAATAAGCTGGGTGTGGCAGCACATGTCAGTGGTCCCAGCTACTCAGGAGGCTGAGGTATATTTTGCTGTTAGCATATGTGATGACCTTGACTTCACCTCCCTGGCGCCAATATCCTCTTCTGTAAAATGGCTTATGCATTACAAAGTGAGGTCCTGCCAGTGACTACACCTAGAGGCATTAAGTGCCTTTGTGGACTCCTGCCCTGCACCTCACCTCTCCCAGCTTCTTAACCCCCTGAGGAACCTTCTTACCTTGAGTCCCTCACCCGCTACAGGCCATCCATGAGCAGATGAACTGCAAGGAGTATCAGGAGGACCTGGCCCTGCGGGCTCAGAACGATGTGGCTGCCCGGCAGACGACAGAGATGCTGAAGGTGAGGCTGGGACAGGGCCGAGGCCTAGGGATTTTAAGTTCTGGGATCCAGGTGGGGGCTGGGGGCTTCCCAGTAAGGGCTGTGCTCACACATCCCTGGAGGCTCTGACCTCCCTTCTGGCTGTCACTCCCATCCGGAGGTGGGACTTAGGCCGAATGGTCATGTCAGGAAGAGCGTCTGGGTGGAGGGTGGAGACCACAGGAATGAAGAGGGGGTTGCTGGATGGAGCCTGGCCTGGCAGAGCCACACAGGAGAGACTCCACAGCTCTAGAGGGTCACCACCTTCTCCCTGCCATGGGGAGGGGCCAGGCTGGGTGACTGCCCCAGCCCCGCCCCAGGGCCAGCACCTGCCCCACTCCAGGTGATGCTGCAGCAGGGCGAGGCCATGCGCTGCCCCCAGTGCCAGATCGTGGTACAGAAGAAGGACGGCTGCGACTGGATCCGCTGCACCGTCTGCCACACCGAGATCTGCTGGGTCACCAAGGGCCCACGCTGGGGCCCTGGGGTGAGTCTTTGCTCGTGGTGGTGTGGAGAGGGTGCCCTTGTGGGCTTTGCCTTAGAGGAGGGCTGGGAAAACTACAGCCCATGGGCCATATCCAACCCAGCACCTGAATTTGTACAGCTCCCGAGGTAAGAATTTTTTTTTTTTTTTTTGAAACGGAGTTTCACTCTTGTTGCCCAGGCTGGAGTGCAATAGCACAATCTCAGCTCACTGCAACCTCTGCCTTCCGGGTTCAAGCAATTCTCCTGCCTCAGCCTCCCAAGTAGCTGGGATTACAGGCATGCGCCACCACGCCCGGCTAGTTTTGTATTTTTAGGAGAGACGGGGTTTCTCCATGTTGGTCAGACTGGTCTCAAATTCCCGACCGCAGGTGATCCACCTGCCTCGGCCTCCCAAAGTGCTAGGATTACAGGCGTGAGCCACCGGGCCGCAAGAATGTTCTTTACATCTTTAAATGGTTGAAAAAATACCAGAAGATGACTATTTTGTGACGTGAAAATTACATGAAATCCACGTTTCAGTGTCCGTAGGTAAAGTGCTTTGGAGCACAGCCGTGTTCATTCATTCACATGTTGGCTGTGGTTGCTTTTACACTACAGAGGCAGAGGCCGTATGGCTGCCCGGCCCAAAATGACTGGCCCTTTGCAGAAAAGGTTTGCCCACTCCTGCCCTAGAGGACAGCAAGTAAAGGTTCGATCTGGAGTCAGAGGTGGATTGGCCCCTGGCTCTGGCACATACTGACTGTGTGATTAGGCTGCCTGCCACTCACCTCTGTCAGCCCCATTTCCTCTGTGAAATGGAGATGATAGCTGGGCTTATCTCAGGCTTGTTGTCAGAATCAAGTGGAAAAATTGCAAGAGAAGTGCTTAGAGAGCCTGTCACTTGGTGAGCACCCTTGCAGATGGTAGCTGTCGTTATTAGGGGTGTGCTCTGGAATTGGGGGCCTGTTGCTACGTTCAGGTAGACTTTCAGACAGGTGGAGGCAGAGGAAACTGCCCTCTCGCATGCTGACATGTCTAGAATATGCAGAGTGGTCAGATCCTCTCCCTGGCCTGTTCCCGGATCTAGGCGTGGGTAGACTGAGTGCTGTGGGAGCCCAGAAAAGGCCTCAGTGACTCTCCATCAGGTAGCTGAGGCTGACCAGGCCATTCTTGCAGGAGGACCTGCAGAGGCAAAGGCCCGGGGTGGGAGAGCGCTCGGCTGTGGGGGCAGTCTCTGCACTGCGCTGACATTCTCTTCTCTTCCTCCCATCCTCTAGGGCCCAGGAGACACCAGCGGGGGCTGCCGCTGCAGGGTAAATGGGATTCCTTGCCACCCAAGCTGTCAGAACTGCCACTGAGCTAAAGATGGTGGGGCCACATGCTGACCCAGCCCCACATCCACATTCTGTTAGAATGTAGCTCAGGGAGCTTCGTGGACGGCCTTGCTTGCTGTAGCGTTGTAGGGGCCCTGCCTGCACTGCGGTTGTCCACGGTCACATCTGCCCCAGTGCCTTTGTCCTTCCCTTGGGGCTTGCCGGCCAGACTTCTCTCCCCTGCGGCTCCCACCTCTGCCTGACCCCAGCCTTAAACATAGCCCCTGGCCAGAGGCCTTGCTGGGTGGAGCCTCTGTGTGACTCCATACTCCTCCCACCACAACACTCATCTGTCAAACACCAAGCACTCTCAGCCTCCCCGCCTTCAGCTGTCAGCTTTCTGGGGCTAACTTCTCTGCCTTTGTGGTTGGAGGCCTGAGGCCTCTTGGAACTCTTGCTAACCTGTTCAGAGCCAGGAAGGAGACTGCACAGTTTTGAAAGCACAGCCCGTCAGGTCCGGCTCTGCGTCTCCCTCTCTGCAGCCTGTGTAAGCTATTATAATTAAAATGGTTTTCCGGGAAGGGATGAGTGTGATGTCCTTGAGAGGAAATGAATGTCCTGGCCTGGGACTCTACACACAGGCAGGATCCTGAGGTCTCTGGGAACTGCATCAGAAAGTTGACTTGTCAGTCCATCTGTGGTAGAATGAGGCTGTGACTGAGCACTGGGACCTTTCTACCAGATGTGGACCCCATGCCCAGCCTCAGGGGCAAGGATGCTCTTGGGTCACCGTCAGCCAGGACAGGTGGAGTGTGCAGTGTGTCAAGTCTGCAGAGAAGGATGGGCTTAGGGGCGGGAGGGGAAGTCTTGCCACTCCTGCTCCCTTTTGACCTCTCAGCAGGCATCTAGGGTTGGCAGGTAGATAGTTCAAGAAGGAACGAAGCTGCTGCAGTTGAGGGGTGGGGTTGTCCATCCTATTTTCTCGTCTCAAGCAAGATGGCACAGTATCGATTCAGCAGTATTTACTAGAACCCACTCTGTGCTGGTCGGAGGTTACTAAGACAGGGTCCTGGGATGTTCATTCTCTAAGTCTTTCCTCCGCTCTGTGACCCACCCTCCTTCCCCTTTTGAGATCTGGTATTTGATGCCCAACACATTGTCCACGCTGTGACGTGACCATCATCATAGCAGGCAGAGGGCGCCTCTGCTGCTGAAGGCCTGTGATTTTGTGGGGAAGGGCCTGTTCTAGCAACTGGAAAGGCACTGCCACCTGCCGTTGGATGCCAGGACTCAAGAGCTGGCCCCAGTCACTGTGCGCAGAGCTGTCTGAGAATGTGTGAGTGGACTGGGTCCTTCGGCACTGCCTGCATTGGCTCAGGGCAGTCAACCGTCGCAGAGGATGAGGGGCACACTCAGGCAGCCTCCCCGGCCCTGGAGGCAGAAAGGCCCAGGCAGAACCACTGACTGGGAGGAAACAGAAAAAGCAGAGGAGAGCCAGGCTGCAGGCGTGTGGATGGGACCAGCTCAGGCAGACGCTGTCTCATACCCACTCTCCCCTCTCTTGCCAGGGCCTGGCCTGGTGTCTCTCAGGAGCCTGGGCATGAGACAAAAGCAGAGATTGTTCTCTTGTGGTACCACAGGCTGTAACCAGTCCACCCAGTGTTGTTTTAGAAATTTAAATCGGTTGCCCATCTTTTTAAATTGGCAACATCGTTTACCACATTAAAATCTAGATGCCCTGCTTCTCTTGAAAATGTCAAAGCTTGGTAATGCCAGGTCCTCACTTCTACCTGGGGGGAATGGAGTCACAGAGATGTCAAATCTCTTCATGGGGTGTACACCCTCCAGTTTGCCACAGTCCTCACCACCCCAGGACTCACGCCGAGGCCTTTCCAGTGCCCTTGCACCATCCTTTTTCTCGTAAGAGGAAGATGAAGTGGGGCTCTACGCGCGGCGTATCACAGGTGAGGGCGAGACCAGCAGAGAGGGCTGTGCTGGCTGTGGCTTTGCTCGGCCTGCCCCATCCATGCTGCAGTGGTGCGGAGGAGCAGGGAGCTGTGTAGGGCCAACCCCGGTTCCTGCCTCAGCTCCACCCGCCTTGCACCTGCAAGTGAAAGGTCTTAAGACGAGCAGGCCCAGGGCACCCTCTACTGCAGGGTCAGGTGGAGGTGCCTCCACCTCCCAAGGCTCACCCATGCCAGGGGCCCAGAACTTGAGAGGCCAGCACCAACTCTCCAGGGCCGAACGAAAACCAAACCCCAGGGCTTTGGACTCAAACCATCGAGAGGAAGCAGCAAGAGGTCCCAAAGGTACTTGAGTGACACAATGATCATCATTCTCTCCTCAGGGGCAGGACAGGGGCAGGGGAAGGTGAGTGGAAGCCCATTGCTCAGATAAAGAGCAGCTGCCACGGAGGGTAGCCCGTCGGCCTATGCCGGCGCTCACTGGTGTCTTCCTCTAGTGCTTGGGGCTGGCATGGAATCTGCTCAAATGCAGGCAGCTGAAGGTGAGCCCGCAGCCTGGTGATCCCAAGTGCCAACCATGAGGAAGTCTGGAGAAAAGACCAGGGAGCAGGGGCCCTCGTGAGGAGCAGGAATTGGCAGCAGGGGCCACCAGCAGAACACCAGAGGGGACAGTGGCAGGGGGAGGAAGATACAGCCAGGCTGGGTCTCAGCCCCAGCTGAGGGTCTCACCTCTTAGCTGGTGAAGGCTCCGGCCTGTTCCTGCTTTCGGTCACCACTTCATCCCTGGGTGATCGTGGGCCCGGTGCAGGGCTGGCTACAAGTGTTTGTTGATTGGTAACTGCTCATGAAAATGGCAACAGCACTAGCACAGCTTCACAAATAGAAACACATTTCACCAACACCCTTGCAGGAAGCCCTCCAGGAGGGCCAAGACCATCCCTGCTTTACTGTTATGGACGTGAGCCTCCGAGAGGCAGTGACTTAGATGCTCACCCAGCCAGGAAGGAAGGAACACACTCGACCCTCAGTCTAAGACCCCATCAGGCCACTAATAATTCTCCCTCCAAACCCAGCTCAGGTCAAGGCCTATCTTCACCCCCAAATCATCCCTAAGGCAGCCTCAACTCTCCACAGCACTACAGCCATCCTGCCCGGCCCCAGTGCTCCACAGACCCTAAACCCGAGCCCTCCCGGGCTTTGTTGGCCCCAAACCACCTACACTTGTTACGTGTTATTTTTACACTGGCGTTTCCCCTCAGCCTTGCATACTGTGTGGTGTTGTCTGACACCACTTTTCCAGCTCTCTGACACCAACTGGGGCTAGTGTCAGGTTCCACAGATTAAAGGGCTCAGTCCCACACTTCCGATGGAGTCACAGATGGGGTGCCCAGGCTACCCACACTTCCTGGGCTACCCACACTTCCTGGGCTACCCACACTTCCTGGCCAACTACACATTCAGGGGTTCCCATGACTCCACCCCCTCAGGTTCAATAATTTGCCTGAGTGACTCAGAACTGAAGATCACCCTGCCCTGACGCTTCCTGGTGTGGTGTCCTCAAGGATGCAGTGTGGGCAGGAACAGCCACGCTTGAGATGAACAGGGTTAGGGATGGGAGCGACTGGCAGCCACTGCAATCTCAAGTTTTGGGGTTTTTTTTGTTTTTTTTTTGAGACGGAGTTTTGCTCTGTTGCCCAGGCTGGAGTGCAGGGGTGCAGTCTTGGCTCACTGCAACCTCCGCCTCCCAAGTTCAAGTAATTCTCCTGCCTCAGCCTCCCGAGTAGCTGGGATTACAGGCACCCGCCATCATGCCCGGCTAATTTTTGTATTTTAGTAGAGACGGGGTTTCACCATGTTGGCCAGGCTGGTCTCGAACTCCTGACCTCAGGTGATCCACCTGCCTCGGCCTCCCAAAGTGCTGGAATTATAGGCGTGAGCCACCGCGCCCAGCCCTGAATCTCAAGTTTGTAAAGTGCTCCACCTCTGTCACTCCAACTCCCAGGAGTCACTGCTTGGGATTGAAAGTTTCCGCCCTCGAATCACCTGGTCTTTCTGGTGCAGGAGCAACCCCGAGGCAATCTAGGGGCCCTGCTCTAACGAATTCATTAGCATGAACTCAAATGGGCTGGAAAGGGGTTATGAATAACAAAAGACACTCACCACTCACGAAATTCCAAGGGTTGTAGGAGACCCGTGTTAGGAACCCAGGAGAAAGACCAAATATTTCTTAGTATCCCACACATACCCTTCCTTTAGTTCTCCAATTATCATAATTCTATTCATCCTTCACATTCCACCCTCACCTTCTATGAAAGTGCCCTGAATTTGCTGCAGGATAGATTGCTCCTGGAGTGCAGCTCTGGTGTGAGCTTTCAGAGGCAGCGCAGTGCCCTGGGCAGCCTGCGTAATCCACGACTGTCAGATCAAAGGGCAGTGTGACCCTGGCCCACAGTGGCAGGAGCTGAGTGCCACTGGCTTGGCCCCGGGAACCTGCGCATCTCCCCTCTGAGCCAAGGAAACAAACAACACAGACAACAGTGTCTCCCCGATGGCCCCATCCCCAGGGTGGAGGCCCTGCACCGGGCACTGCTCTGCGCGCGCGCTCCCCAGCAGCCAGCAGTGTCTGGAGGATACTGGAAAGCTTGGCAAGAGTAGGCTGAGCAGCTCCTCTGTGGACAGAAA
This sequence comes from Homo sapiens, assembly GCF_000001405.40. Lineage (NCBI taxonomy): Eukaryota > Metazoa > Chordata > Mammalia > Primates > Hominidae > Homo > Homo sapiens. The sequence continues at coordinate 435,032 of NC_000020.11, forward strand.
GGGCATGTGGAGAAGCGGCACATCAAGCTCTGGTTAGGATCCAAAACCAAATGCCAGCTCCTAGGATCCCCAGACCAGGGTGTGAAACACACCAAGAGCACCCCAGACCCGCACCAGTTGTGTCGACTGTGACAGTACCCAGAGTGGAAAAAACATGAACTCAAACTGTGTTTTCCTCCACTGCTCTCTCAATACCAACAGACATCTGTGGCCAAATGTGTTGGGGATTTCTCCCCTGACACCAAGCAAGCAAGCAATTCTGCAGCCTACATCAGCTGGGTATCCTCCAATTCAATTCAGTGCTCACCCTACCTATAGTATCTGGAAATGGAATCCACAGGTTCAAGGCTCTGTCCCACAAGACCGCCGCCTCTGCCACAACATTGGACTGACCACCCTCTTTGGGTGGCATGATTTGCCAAGAGTGGCTCACAGAACTCAGGGAAACTTATGTTTACCAGTTTATTACAAACATTATTAGAAAAGGATACAAATAAGTAAACAGCCAGATGAAGATACACACAGGGTGAGGTCTGGACGGGTCCTGGGCAAATGCTGGAGCTTCTGTCCCCATGGAGTGGGGGTGCGCCACCCTCTTGGCACATGGACAAGTTCTCGTTCCCCTCCCTCCACATGTTCAGCTCTTCAGAAGCTCCCGTGTTCCTGGGCCTTTTATGGAGACGTCATTGGATAGGCATGGCTGAAGCATGGCAGCTGTGTTGAGATGAAACTGGACAAAAAGCATAAGGTCTAAACCCAGCAAGGCCTGTCTGTCCAGATGCTTCTTGGCCTCTCTGTGCAGCGTTCCTCCTTCCGGGTATGGGGCAGCACCCTCTCTGGAATGAGGGTCTTATGAGCTACAGTCAGATTAAAGTCTGGTGTTGAGCAAGTGAAATGGGGCAGGAGAAGGTCACAGACAGAGATTCCGTTTTCTGAGGCCTGCAGTGTCCCAACATTATAACAAAGGGTTATGGGAGTGATGAACCAGGAACTGTGGACAAAAACATCTACACACGTATAAAATATCACAGTGCCCTGGGCTGCAGCTGGAGTGTGTGGGTCATAATTCTTGCAGATGAAACAGAAACAGCAAGACTGTAGGTACTGCCCAAGGTCTCCTAGCCAGTCAAGGCTGACCAGGAGTCCACAGACCATGGCACAGTTCTGGGCCTGACATGGAAGGTGGGAGCATCCAGATCAGAGACCATTCCCACTGAGCGGTGGCCAAGGACGGAATGACAGAAGAGGTGATTAGTAACCACATATGGCTGTTTATTTGATACAGGGCTCTGTACAAAATATTTACACATATTCTTTACAGAATAAGTAAACCACCTGAAGGTAATTAGATAATGCTTTCTTCTCAATGACAGGGAGAATCCTGGTGTCAGCAAAGTTAGAAAACAGATAAACATTCTCCTTCCGAGGCCACAACTCAAGCAAATGCCACTTGCTTCCTAGGATCTGAAAAGCTGTGGCCTTGGGACCCTGGTCACATGCACCTCCTTTCCTCAACCCCATCAATTCCTTCAGTATTTACAAACAGGCTTGAGTACTTGTGGAAGGAGGGGCAGCTGGTGCCGCCCACTGAGAGGATGACAAGAGGGCCAGCTTGCTTTGGGAGAGCACTGGGAATATCTGCCGCATCATCACCTCTGGAAGAATTTCCTTTGCCCTGATGAATACACCACTGTCTAAATTAATCCATCGACATCACACTTACCCCACAGTGGGGCTCCTGAGCCATGGACAATGATCCATCCCTTTGAGCTTTTTTTGGTTTTAAAGTGCGTAGTGGTGGCTGGGCGTGGTGGCTCACACCTGTAATCCCAGCACTTTGGGAGGACGAGACGGGCAGATCACCTGAGGTCAGGAGTTCGAGACCAGCCTGGCCAACGTGGCGAAACCCCATCTCTACTAAAAATACAAAAATTAGTCAGGCGTGGTAGCAGGTGCCTGTAGTCCCAGCTACTCGGGAGGCTGAGGCAGCGAGAATTGCCTGAACTTGGGAGGCGGAGGTTGCAGTGAGCTGAGACTGCACCACTGCACTCCAGCCTGGGCAACAGAGTGAGACTCCATCTCAGAAAAAAGAAAATAATAATAAAATAAATAAAAATAAAGTGCTTAGTGTAACTCAGCGGACAGGGCTCCCAGCTGCTCTGGCACGTGGGACACCCTCCACCCTGCACACAACAGGCATGCAAAGAGGACTGGATATGGTGGGGTAGAGTGCTTCTGGTGTGTTCACTTTAAGAAAACATCTGCCAAGAGAGAAGAGTGCCCAGGAAAGACCAGGAAAATACAAGTACATGGCTGCTTCATACCATATACCCCAATTCTTTAAAGCAGCAAAAGGCACTTTTTTTTTCAGGCCAGAGTGAATCTAAAACAAACCTGGCTTTGCTTACAGGGAAGCTGTCCCAGAAGGACTGAGTGATGCCTCTTGTTCCCTAAGGTCTGGAGAGTCTTTGCAAGTTTCCAACGACATTTCCAACCAGGTGGGAGAGACCAGCAGTTGACGAGTCAAGTCAGACCCAAAAAACGACGCCAAGGTAGTGAGTGGGTGCCTATTTGGGAGTAGGATGATTTGAGGAAAACAGGAAGAAAAACCGGTCAGAAAGTGGCACTTTGGAAGTGGAAAGCTGTTTGCAAATAGCAACTCTGGCTAAAGCGAAAATGTTAATCAAGTAGAAAGTAAAATTCAGGATCTTAGAAGCTCATCCTTCTGATGAGAACTATTTTTTTTTCCGTGAAGGAACTATTATTACTTTAAAAGTGAGGGTAATTTACATATGGGGTGTATATATTCTAAAAATAGTAATAAAAGTACCTTTTATAAGCAATGTTGTGTGGCTTGTAGAAGAAAGCAGGGAGGAAAAAAAGGCAGGCAAAACTAGTCTAGGTCTAGGCCCTAAAAATGAGCTTCCTTCCCACTTGACTGGAAACGCCCATGTGATTTCTAGGCTGAAAATAGGTAGGATTTAACGAGTAACCTAGTTCCCTTCTGTCTCTGATTTCTGATCAGCTGATGGAGCTGCTAGTAAGAGGGGCCGATCATGCTCCCAGACGAGTCCTTTGGCCTCTTGCTCTCCATCCCAAGCCTGACTCCTTCAGCAGCAGCCCCCTCCTTCTGTGTCCATCTGATGCAGGCAAGCAGGAGCAGTAAGAGGGCATCCCATGTTCCAGTTCACCTTCTATGGGGTGACTAGGAGGTTCCCGGTAACTAGGGCAGCCCAGGCCCAGCAGGTTGCAAAAGCAGCTGCAAGCTTCAGAAACCCACTTCCTCCAACACCAGGGAGGTGGCAGAGAGCCCATCCAAAAGCCCACTGGGAGAGGCATAAGATTCTGTGCCAGGCCCCCAGGTCCCCTCTGTGTCAGGTAGGCTCTGCTACTGGCCTCTGAAGTAAAGGCAAACACAAACGGGCAGGGCAGGGTGGCAGGAATAAAAAACTCTGGACAGAAACCCTTTTAATAAAGGAAATTCCACCCCTCCCAATCCTTCCATGGAAGGGTGAGACCTTAATGTGATGTAAGAGGAAGGTCTTCTCTGGCTTTCAGGGAAACAGCTGCAGCTGAAACTTAGGGGCCCATTCCAGGGCACTTTTCACCACAGCCAGTGCAGCCGCTCCAAGTGCCACTGTCAGCCCCATCACTGCCAATTTCACAAAGCGGTTGGTCCTTGGCTTGGTCAGGACATCTTTTGTTCGATCTTCAGGCCGCAGAAGTCCCCGAAACCGCTGCCGCAGCACCATATCAGGCCTCTGCTGGGCTGATGCCAGCTCAAAGTCTTTGAAAGTAGAGGCTGCCGTCCTGCAGGGGAAAGAGACGGAAGGAAGGAAGTGGTATGAAAGAGGAGGAGGAAAGCAAAACTACACCACATAGGCTGCGGGCAGAGCCTTTCATTGCTGGGAAAGCTCTTTATGATAAAGACCCATATGTCTACAGTGGGGATTCCACTGGCCTAAGCTCAGATCTCTGGAAACATGCCCCAACCCTATCCCACCAGACACAAACCTTCCCTCGCTTCTGCTCATTTACAGCCACCCCCATTCAACCAGTGTCCCAGCCTTGCTCACCTCTCAGCTTGCTGTTGGGCAGCGGCCTCCCGAGCAAGTTCGGATGGGGGAAACTGAACAAAAAGGTCTCCTGCTCTGCTGATCAGTGTCTCATAGGGCAAGTCCTGAGGGATCTGGGACAACAGGTGGTGGACCGAGGCCATGTCACAGTCACAGTCCAGGACTTCCTGCTCGCGATACAACACAATCTGTGGGGAGGTAGTAAAGCCTTGCAGTCAGAGGCCAGACACACAGGGCCTGGGCCACCTGCACTCCATTATCCTTGCAGATGAATTTAAACTGGTAACAGACAGGACTCAGCCCAAATGTTGAGCAAACTCTTGTATCCATCAAGGAAGTAATAACATATATACGCTCAGTGCTACTCCTACTCTCTGGCCCTTCCTGCAAACTTCCACCACATGACATGAAAGGCTGACCAGTTACAATCTAAGTCCTTCGGGCATGCTGGGCTGCTCAGGTGTCCCTTTAAGTCTTGAAAGAAATGAAGGAGATTCTTTTAGGAGAAAGTAGGAGAATTATTGGGAGATTCCTGGAGCTCCAGCATAGAAGAAATGGTTCAAAACAGTAGAAAGAACAGTCTTGCTCCCTTTAAGCATCTTCCTTCTGACTGTTGGTCCACAAATCCACAGATGCTCAAGGGACCAGTGGTCATTGAAGGACTTCCCTGAATTCCCATCTCCACCCCATCCCTCAAGACCCTTCTACTAACTGAAGCCCCTACCCTCCACCGCAAGCCGCCTCCCTTGTCTGTCATGACACCAGATCTCTTCTTTTCTTAAATCTGGAGTTGACAGCTTACGCTACTATTTCCCTAATTGTGTTCATCAGCTGAACATATATTCCAGACAATGTCAACAGGAACCCTGACAATTCACAATGCAGATTAGCATTTTAAAGGTTCAGAAGTGTCATGCAGCAAAAAAAATCTGATTTTGTTTATACCCAGCATTTCCCAACTTACTATTTTTTGTGTGTGACACCCCCATTAATACTGCACAGAATGGTGTCCAGGGACACCAGCCTGGGAAGTGCTGTCTTTTGCATCTTTCCATAATCCCCAGGTTTCCCTTCAGGGAAAATGACCACAGTGGGATGGGTGATGGTGAACCCAGCTGCTGGCTCGTGGCCTGTACCTACCACGGCTGCAAAGTAAATCGGCATCAGTGGGTGGCAGGCCAGGAAGAAGTCATATAACCGCACGACGTGCCTGAAGTCAGACAGGACATGCCCAAACCAGGTGATGAGCCAGCTGAGGGCAAAGATGGTCCCTACCTCAGCACTAGAAACAAAGGAAAGGCAGGTGTCAGGTCCTGTGGGCCATCCCTTCCCTCTCTCTGGGCCTTATAGCGCTGGTGAGAAGGAAGCATTTAGGAATAAGATTTCTGGAAAATTCAGTTACCTAGGAATTCAGCATCTTCTCCTTACAAAATATTTAATACAAAGTCTTTAAGGTGTACCACAACACTAACACCACAACAGGGTCCTGGCTGCTTTATCTCACTGGGTGCTCGCCTACTGGCCAACAAATGTCAACTACAGGAACGAGAAGCAGTTGTTTTCAGAGAACTACGCCATGATTCTCCTTCTGACTAAGTCTTACCCTTCTGGGGGGCACAGGTACATATTCCCAAGCCTGAAAACATGACTGCATTAATTTTTCTGTTAACATGAGACAACTGAAATATCTTAAGATGTAGCTGCCAGACACGGTGAGTCACGCCTATAATCTCAGCACTTTGGGAGGCCAAAGCGGGCGGATCACCTGACATCGGGAGCTCGAGACCAGCCTGACCAACATGGAGAAACCCTGTCTCTACTAAAAATACAAAATTAGCCGAGCGTGGTGGCGCATGCCTGTAATCCCAGCTACTTGAGGCTGAGGCAGAAGAATCGCTTGAACCCGGAAGATAGAGGTTGCAGTGAGCCAAGATCATGCCATTGCACTCCAGCCTGGGCAACAAGAGAAAATACTCCATCTCAAAAAAAAAGAAGGCATAGCCATTACCTTTTAAAAAATTTTAAAAAAAGAGGCATTGGCCAAGAACACATTTCCAACTAAACAGAGAAGAAACAAAACATCACATGGGATTTGCAAAAAAATATTTCTTCTCTTTGGTACTTGGGAAATAAAACAACCCATTGTTGGCCTTCCCCTTCTCGCCACTGGATCCCACAGGACTTTGTGTTTCTCTTGTGGCAATAACCTCAACATCTTACCTTGGCATACATACCTTATCCACCTCTCCCCACTAGATGTAAACTCAAGGGATGGGCTATGTCCCCCAAAGAGCACAGTCCCCAAAAATGCTCCAAGAACTGAATTACCCAGATTGCTGGTGACTGGAACAACTGGGGAGAACTTAACAAATCCACCCAAGACAATGAGGAAACTGCGCTCGGCTTGTGAGGAGTGTTTCAGGTGTGGGGGGGTGTGGGCGTGTGTATGCATGCACACAGAAATGCAGACACATATGTACCTCTGCATGAAGTCATGGAGCTCTGGATTCACCTGGTCAATGATGGGCATCAGATAGTTTAATATATGCTTGGTGTTGTCCATTGTTGGATCCATAAAATCCCTGGAGGGAGACAATTCAATAAGCCTGGTTACCAAACACTTAGATCAGGGCTCAGGGTGGCGAGGGCTCAAACTCCTAAAAAAGCTGACCAGAAAACAGGCCAGTGAGTTATCCCCAGGACGGCTGAGGAGTGATGCCCGTCGTCTTGTGTTCCTCTCTACTGGTACCTGAGGTGGTGGGTAGATAATTTTTCTACCAGGGATGTTGCCAGCCTCTCGCCTACCACCAGCAGAAATGTGACCACAATGTCATGGTAGCCCTGGTAGTAGTGCAGCTGAGGGTTGCGCTCCAAGATGAGGAGGATGATGTCAATCAGTTCTTCCTGGAGCCCTTCTCTCTGTTCCTCTGGCATGCCTGGGGACAGGAACAGAGATGCCTTTGAACATACCAAGCAGCCTAGTTAACAAGGAGGTCGAAGAAGGCCAGCAATGAATTTTCAGAGAAAAAAGGAAAATGAATTACAAATAATTTGGCAACGCATATCAAGATCCACTGTTGATACCACCTGGCATACAGGAAAAGGCAGCTGCTAGCTTTCCAGTAGGGGAAGCTGCAGATGCCACCCTAACCAAGTTGCTGCAGTTAATACTGCTGGGACACAGTATTTAACTGCAGAATTTCAACTATGGGAGCCACAGACGGCCTCTGCCTCCCGAGGTGATGCACTGACAGAGCTCAGCATCATGTCTGCAGGATTTCTATCAACAGCGCACAGACCTCAATCTCACAATGAAGAAATACCCAATATCCCCAAAGGAAGAGAAATTTAACTCTCATACAATACAAAGGAACTGTTCCAGATTAAAAATGGCTAAAGATATAGGACAACAGCATGAGAAACGCATAAATCTATATTTCCTTTTCCAGTGAAGCACATTACTCGAAGAAATGGTGAAATGTGAATAAAATCTGTGGATTAATTAGTTAACTATTTTTCAGTGTTGTTACTGATGTTGCTCAGTGTACTGTGATTACATGAGAGCCTTATATTTAGGAAATATGTCCTGAAACACTTGGGGTAAAAAGATGTCATGTTTGCAACTTACTCTTAAATAGTTCAGAGAAAAAGTGTATGTCTATGTGTAAAGCGAAGGAAAGACAGAAAGCAGCTAAAAAAGCAAATGTAGGCCAGGCGCGGTGGCTCACGCCTGTAATCCCAGCACTTTGGGAGGCAGAGGCAGGTGGATCACGAGGTCAGGAGATCGAGACCATCCTGGCTAATATGGTGAAAAACCCCGTCTCTAATAAAAAATACAAAAAATTAGCTGGGCGTGGTGGCAGGCGCCTGTAGTCCCAGCTACTTGGGAGGCTGAGGCAGGAGAATGGCATGAACCCAGGAACCAGAGCTTGCAGTGAGCTGAGATCGTGCCACTGCACTGCAGCCCGGGCGAGAGAGCAAGACTCCGTCTCCAAGAAAAAAAAAGCAAATGTAGTAAAATGTGAAAACAAAAGGAAATCTGGGTAAAAGGTATCTGGGGAATTCTTTGTCCTATTTTTACAACCTTTCAGTAAGTATGAAATTATATAAAAATAAAAAAATTTTAAAGTTACACGGTCCCCTTTAAACCAAAGCAAACGTTACAGGAAAAACTGATCCTCTTGATCCAAAGATGTATTATAGCTGGAAATAGGGAAGCCTGTCTCAGGAGTTCTTTCAGGGAGTTCTTTTACTGCTGGAGCTAGTGCTGCCAGCAGTAAAAATGCCTTGGCCTTATGAGCCAGGTTAGAAGAATGGCACATGCACAGCTTCTCCACACCATTAGCTTTCAGTTACAAACACATACTCAGAGAGAGAAAGCAGCTAATGTAAGGGCCCAAACTAAACCGGACAAAGGATTGCAGGTAAGAGCAAAACTCACCTCTTGCCCATATTTACCCCACCCCTTCTCAAATAAAAAGCATACCCTAAAAGATAAATAAGGAAACGAAGCAAACCCAGGGCTGCTGATAGGTGAAGCAGTGAAAGGAGTGAGAGTAAAAATTAAACCCTGTGTGAATTTTCAGCAGAAAAGCAGTGAGCCAAGCCCAGAAGACCATGAATGGAAAAAGAATATGAAGCCACACTGTAAGTTCAGCCTACAGAAAGCGTATCACAGATATTACATCAATGGAAGAGGAATAAAGGGTTCAGAGGGAAAACAGGTTACCTAGGAAAAAATGGGGGTGGCTCTTGCCTGTAATCCCAGCACTTTGGGAGGCTGAGGTACGTGCATCACCTGAGGTCAGGAGTTCGAGAGCAGCCTGGCCAACATGGTGAAACCCCATCTCTATTAAAAACACACACACACAAAATTAGCTGGGCGTGGTGGCGGGCACCTGTAATCCCAGCTACTTGGGAGGCTGAGGCAGGAGAACTGCCTGAACCTGGGAGGCGGAGGTTGTAGTGAGCTGAGACAGTGCCATTGCACTCCAGCCTGCAACAAGAGTGAAACTCTGTCTTTAAAAAAAAAAAAAAAAGGGAGGCATCTGTCCTATATGATCTCATCCAAACCAGCAGGCTAGGAAAAGGGAATGGACCGTGGGCATGTGCTTTTATCAAAACCACGCTGGCAGGCTACTGCTACCTGGGTATTGCAAGAATCTGTCCAGGGAGCAAGAATGCCAGCAGGAAAGCAGCCCCTTCAACAACAAAAGCCAGGCCAGAGCACAGTGCAGAAGAGGGAGGCAGCCAGCTTAGAGGCTCCTGTTCCCTTTAGCAATTCTCCTCTCTTCATGACCTAAAGGTGGAGTTGCCAGAGGAAGAAAAATAGGTCATCCATGTGAGGTTTGTTGCCCAGTTCCCTTCACTGTGAAAATTGAGACAACGGTCCTTCTTTTCTTTCTTCCTGAAATAAAGAGGTAATTTTAGGAATACATTCTTTTTTGTTTGTTTGTTTTGTTTTTATTTATTTATTTTTTTATCTATTGCTGCTTAATTTGTTAATTAAGGAATATACTCTTACACAAACAGGGAATGGCCTCTCTTCCCTCTAAGGAATCTTACATATGTATGCGCAAGGTACCATCGTTTTTAAACCTAATTAAGATATTACTCATTCTTGTTGGTGCCCAATTCCACACCAATCTGCTCTTTAATGCCAGACTGATGGCTCTAACAATCCTTATTAACTCCTTTTTGTGGCTTCAAGGAAAAACAAAAACCTCTTCTCTCATTCACCACCTCTAGGCCAGGAGAAATTATTTTTGGTTCAGGCTTTCACAGTGGGGGTCTGAAAGTGACCAGTCAAGAAAAGGATGACTCAGCAAAAGGAGAGCTCTGAAGGTCCCTGAGGCGGCAGGGTCCAGCATATTAGGTCACATGGTATGACCTGGAACAGATACAGTCTTTCCAAATGTGGCAGGACCGGGAGAGCTTCTCACCAGGAGGGAACCGCCGCAATGACCGCCGGACGTCCAGCAACACTTGTTGGTAGTCCTTGCTCATCTGCCGTAGGTTCTTCCCTATTGAAGGAAAAGGCACGTTATTGCAGGAATGCCTGAGAAGCCAGACCAGAAGCAAAACATTCTGGGATGACACAAAAGGCCTAGAGGGCACATGTCAGCTTCTCCTGAAGAGGATGATATGACTCAAGATACAACATTTGGCAGGGAATCCCTAGTTTGGTTCCAAACATTATGTTTCCTGCAAGTCACAATGACCCTAAGAGAAGGGAGCACAGACTGCCCAGGAGACAATACAGCAGGGTGGGAAGGAGAGCAAAGACGTAAGGAGGCCAGGCGCCTCGTGCAGAAGGCCACTGTGCATCACTGGGAACTGCTCTGAATTTCAAAGTCCACAGCTACAAAATGAGGATATTCCAAGGATCAAATAAAATCATGAATGTGGGAACAACAGACCACTGAAAAAAACCCTAACGCCTATAAAGTTGTGGGAGCACTAAGCTGTTTAGAAAGGTATATTGAGACTCACATAAAGAACCACCTAACAACTCTTGACCCAGCAATTCTAAAACTAAAGAGCTGCAAAGAGGAGACAGTCCTTGTGTTCAGCTGCTAAGTCCAATACAGCATGAAAGGAGGCAGTCTCTAGCCATTATACATATAACAAGTGTACATTTCCTCCAACCAAACCAAGTGCTGTATAATAAGCGTACATTTCTCTCACAACCCAAATCCAAAGCTAGTAAGGCTGGGCAACACTTCCTCACACGTAGGCTTCACGGTATAAAAAGATGAGGGAAGTTTGGAACCTGATAGAAGAACATCATCTCAGGATTCAGGGTGTGAACATGGCACTGCCTTAGCCTTCCAACAAAAAGCTGACTGCTCTGAAGCAGCCAATTCCAAGGATAATAACAAGTGGCAACTCAACACCTACTGGGTGACATCATGACGCTGTGAACTTTTTGGTGGCAGAAGTCCTGTTTCAATCATCTCCAGTACCTGGCAATCATAGCACAACTAATATTTGCCAACTGAAAGAATCCTCAGCACTTGGCATTTTGCCATGATGGCAGGAAAGCTACAAGGTGAGTGCACTGAGTGAATGAGCAGCAGAGTGGATTCACTGTTCTACAGGACTTTTACTATTTTGAACTTCATTCCAAGGAACTCTTTTCACCACATGGGCCTTGCACATTAGTTAGGTAACTCTTTTCACAGAATTACAGGATTTTAGAACTCCAAAGGATTTCAGTATTTCCCAATAAAAAGAGGGTGTTTTCTTTTTTTTTGAGTATCTCACTCTGTCGCCCAGGCTGGAGTATACTGGCGCAATCTCGGCTCATTGCAACTTCCGCCTCCTCGGTTCAAGCGATTCTCCTGCCTCAGCTTCCCTAGTAGCTGGAATTACAGGTGTGTGCCACCATACTCAGCTAATTTTTGTATTTTTAGTAGAGATGGGGTTTCACCATGTTGGCCGGGCTGGTCTCGAACTCCTGACCTCAAGTGATTCACCTGCCTCAGCCTCCCAAAATGCTAGGATTACAGGCGTGAGCCACTGTGCCCGGACAAAAGAGGGTGTTTTTGTGTGTGTTTAATTTTACTTTACTTTTAGAGATTGGATCTTGCCATGTTGCCCAGGCTGGCCTCAAACTCCTGGGCTCAAGTAATCCTGCCTCATCCTCCCAAGCAGCTAAGACTACAGCCGTGCACCACCATGTCTGGCTAGTTTTTAAATTTTTGTAGAGACAGGGTTTCGCAATGTTGCCCATGCTGGCCTCAAACTTCCAGTCTCAAGTGACCCTCCTGCCTCAGCCTCCGAAAGTGCTGGAATTACAGGTGTGAGTCACCTCGCCCAGCCACAAAATACGCATTTTTTTTTTTTTTTTTTTTTTTTGAGACGGAGTCTCACTCTGTCACCCAGGCTGGAGGACAGTGGTGCAATCTCTGCTCACTGCAACCTCCACCTTCCAGGTTCAAGCAATTCTCTGCTGCAGCCTCCTGCGTAGCTGGGATTACAGGCACCTGCCACCATACCTGGCTAATGTTCGTATTTTTTTTTTTTTTTTTTAGTAGAGATGGGGTTTCACCATCTTGGCCAGGCTGGTCTTGAACTTCTGACCTCAAGATCCACCTGCCTCAGCCTCCCAAAGTGCTGGGATTACAGGCGTGAGCCACCACACCCGGCCCAAAATATGCATTTTTAAAAAACACTTGCCAAGCAAGTATGCAGAACAAAGCATATGCATTTTTAATAAATTCACTTGCCTAGCCAATATTTTAATCCCTAATAAAAAAAGAACTTGCCTGGGCGTGGTAGCTCATGCCTGTAATCCCAGCACTTTGGGAGGCCGAAGCAGGCTGATCACTTGAGGTCAGGAATTCGAGACCAGCCTGGTCAACATGGCAAAACCCCATCTCTACTAAAAATACAAAAATTAGCCAGGCATGGTAGCGCATGTCTGTAATCCCAGCTACTAGGAAGGCTGAGGCAGGAAAATTGCTTGAACCCAGGGGGCAGAGGTTGCAGTGAGCTGAGATTGTGCCACCGCACTCCAGCCTGGGTGACAGAGCAAGACTCCGTCTCAAAAATAAATAAAATAAAAACAAGTAAAAAAAGAACTCATTCCACTTTTGAATAAAATTCTACTTATCGGTTTGGCCTTATTTTCAGAGTGGGCCCAAGCATTTCCCAAAACACCCTAGATTTATTCATATACCCTTGGTTTGAAAGGACCATAAAAATTAAAGATCCTGGAATTCTTTTCCCCCTGTCTCCTAGATAAGCTCCCCTCACAGCCTCCCCCACTCCCCTTACCTGATATAGGAGGTGGGTCATTGGCATTGACATTGAGGAGCTTGGGCCACACTTTTCGTCTGATCTCATCAGTCAGGAGCCCTCCTTCACTGATAGCCATGCGTCTAAGGGCAGCCACATCAGTGGGATCACTGTTCAGAGCCTGGTGTATCTCTGCCACTTTCTTTTTCCTTTTGGCGTTAAAGTCTGAAGATAAGGATAGGGAAGAATTAGGCGCACATTCAGCACGTGCATATTTTCTGCCTAGGACTCAAGCTCCTTTTTGATATGAGGTACAGGTAAGTATCTCCTCTTAGCTCTAAGACTGCCTGCTGGCATAAAGTCTCACAGCCAGATGCACTATTCATTTCGGGCCCAGTCTACTGGACCTCATGGTGGGAGGCTTGGAGAGCCCACTATAAAACAGATTTTAAATCACCGATTTTTAAAAAGATAGTCTCTTTTTATAGGTCTGAACCAAAAATCATAGGCACAGACTGGAAATAATTATTAGTTGTTGTTGTTTTTAAGAGACAGTGTCGGCTGGGTGTGGTGGCTCATGCCTGTAATCCCAGCACTTTGGGAGGCCGAGGTGGGCGGATCACAAGTTCAGGAATTCGAGACCAGCCTGGCCAATATGGTGAACCCCCGTCTCTCCTAAAAATACAAAAATTAGCTGGGCATCGTGGTGCTCGCCTGTAGTCCCAGCTACTCAGGAGGCTGAGGCAGAAGAATCACTTAAACCTGGGAGGCGGAGGTTGCAGTGAGCCGAGATCGTGCCACTGCACTCCAGCCAGGATGACAGAGCGAGACTCCGTCTTGAAAAAAAAAAAAAAAAAGAGACATTGTCTCTCTAAGTTGCCCAGGCTGGCCTCAAACTCCTAGGCAAAACCGATCCTCCCACCTCAGCCTTCCAAACAGCTGGGACTACAGGTGCATGCCACCATGCCTGGTCCAGAAATAATTACACGTACTTTTTTTTTTTTTTTTTTTTGAGACGGAGTCTCGGTCTGTAGCCCAGGCTGGAGTGCAGTGGCGCAATCTCAGCTCACTGCAACCTCCGCCTCCCGGGTCCCGGTTCAAGCAATTCTGCCTCAGCCTCCCAAGTAGCTGGGATTTCAGGCACGCACCACCATGCCCAGCTATATTTTTGTATTTTTAGCAGAGATAGCGTTCACAACGTTGGCCAGGGTGGTCATGAACTCCTGACGTCGTGATCCTCCTGCCTCGGTCTCCCAAAGTGCTAGGATTACAGGTGTGAGCCACCACGCCCAGCCTATATGTACTTTTTTTTTTTTTTTTTTGAGAAGGACTCTTGCTCTGTCGCCAGGCTGGAGTGCAGTGGCACGATCTCGGCTCACTGCAACCTCTGCCTCCCGGGTTCAAGTGATTCTCCTGTCTCAGCCTCCCAATACATTAAAAAAAAAAAAAAAAAAAAGGTAAGTGAGGCTGGGCACGGTGGCTCATGCCTGTAATCCCAGCACTTTGGGAGGCCGAAGTGGGCAGATAATGAGGTCAGGAGTTCGAGACCAGCCTGGCCAACATGGCAAAACCTCATCTCTACTAAAAATACAAAAATTAGCCAGGCGTGGTGGCATGCACCTGTAATCCCAGCTACTCGGGAGGCTGAGGCAGGAGAGTCGCTTGAAACCCAGGAGGCTGAAGTTGCAGTGAGCCAAGATCGTGCCACTGCACTCCAGCCTGGGCGACAAAGTGAGACTCCGTCTCAAAAAAAATGATAAGTGAAAAAAGAAATGTGTTAAAATCAGACAGATCTTGGTTCAAATCCTGGCTCTGCCACTTATCTGATCCATAATCTTGGACAGATGACTTCCCTGCTCTGGGCCTCTGGACTGACACCCTCTTGTCAGGATAGTTACCATGGTACACAGTAGATACTTACTAAATATTAGCTCCCCTCCTCACTCTGAAACAACATGTATTTTACAAATCAACCTACAGATATTTAATTAGTACGTAATATGCAAAGCACTAAGGAGATATACTGTGTAAGTAACAAGCAAGGAATTACAACTATAATAAACGCTCAGTAAATTCAGGCATATCTAGCAGTTAGTGTCAATGTTTTCATACAAGAATGTCCATTCTTAATTCCCAAACTTCACAGAGCATATACATCTCTTACTGTAACAATTTTTTCCTGTTGTTTAAATAGGAAAAATGCATGTCACCAAAACTCGATACTACATTGAAAACATAACCACATGAAAAGGTCTCCTGTTACACGCTACTACAACTGGTAAAAACATTAGAATCACATAGAGATTTTTTTTTTTTTTTGAGATGGAGTCTCACTGTCGCCCAGGCTGGAGTGTAATGGCGCGATCTCAGCTCACTGCAACCTCCCTGTCCCAGGTTCAAGTGATTTTCCTGCCTCAGCCTCCTGAGTAGCTGGGATTACAGGCATGCACCACCACGCTTTGCTAATTTTTTTTTTTTTTTAGACAGGGTTTCACCATGTTGGCCAGGCTGGTCTCGAACTCCTGACCTCAAGTGATCCACCTGCCTCAGCCTCCCAAAGTGCTGAGATTACAAGCGTGAGCCACCACGCCTGGCCAACACAGAGATGTTTTCAAAACCAGTGTCAAAGGGTACTTGGGTTTCCAGTGTGGCTGGTGACACTGCCACCAGACACTGCCACAGAGAGGCTGTGACACTGCATACAAAGGAACTGTTTCTTAAAAACCATAGTAAGTAATGTTTTAAGCATCTTACATCCTTATGTGATAGTCTGTTATTCATAGACATTTTGCCATGTTTAAATTACTTTTTAGGACTGGTCCCTGAGTGGTGCTATTTACAACTCATTGATTACAATCAGTTAGATTTCTTTGTTCCTTTTCCACGCCCACTGCTTCACTTGACTAGCCTTCAAATAAATAAATAAATAACTTTTTTGGGAAATTGGTTGGGAATTTGTGGTTAGTAGCTATCATATCATTTTTCTATGTGAAATAACAGAGTATTGCTTTTTGGCCTTTGGCTGAGATCAGGGGAGATAAAGGAGTAAAAGGCTCTGAAAGTTTGCATGCAGAATGTCTGCTTTTAGGGATGGCTTGTGGAAGTTAAATGGATGATGCCTGTATTTCAGTTCTTTCTAGTTGCCAGTACCATTGAGAAAATATGTCAAAAACACAAGAAATGTTACACAAGACAACACCAAACGTCACAAGGCAGTAGACTATAATTGTCAAAAAAGGTGCATGCAGACAATAATGGCCAAGAGCTCAAAGAGACTGCAGTGGGTCAGGGCCAAGCTAACCTGAGAAGTGTACCTTAAAAAGGAAGAGGAGCAAAACTCTCTTGACATGCTTAATTGTGATGTTTAATGAACATCCTTGCAGTGTAAGACGACCTTTTTAAAATACATTCTTGGCCGGGGACGGTGGCTCACGTCTGTAATCCCAGCACTTTGGGAGGCCAAGGCAGGCAGATCACCTGAGGTCAGGAGTTCGAGACCAGCCTGGCCAACATGGTGAAACCCTGTCTCTACTTTAAAAATACAAAAAACTAGCCGGGCATGGTGGCAGGCGCTTGTGGTCCCAGCTACTCAGGAGGCTGAGGCAGGAGAATCGCTTGAACCTGCAAGGTGGAGGTTATAGTGAGCCGAGATAGCGTCACTGCACTCTAGCCTGGACGTCAGAGCAAGACTCTGTCTCAAAAGAAAAATAAATAAATAAATAAATTCTCTCGGCTTCAGACCTACCTATCTTTGGTGTCTCAAGTTAAACCCAAAGCAGCACCCATCACATCTGCCTTTTCTTTACTTTTGTCTCCTATTGCTTCCAGATACCTTCTTCCTTTTCCTGCAAAGCCCATTCTGCTGGAGTGGAAAAGTCCAATGCCTTGATGCCAGGGTCTTGTTCAGTCACTCAAGATGGAGTGTAGTGGCACAGTCATGGCTCACTGCAGCCTCAACCATATATATATAGTTTAAATAAATCAATAAACCAATAAATTCTCTCTTAATGATGGTTTGAGCCTCACCACTTGATTAGGACAATCAGCATAACCTGTAGAATCTTATTTGGAATTGAATTCTGTATTGTAATTTTGTTCCTGTTCATTTTTAAATTTTATTTTTCTTTCACTGTAAAGATGATACTCTGCTTTAAATGTTAAAAGTGTACAAGCAAAAGGCCGGGCACAGTGGTTCACACCTGTAATCCCAGCACTTTGGGAGGCTGAGGCAGGCAGATCACGAGGTCAGGTGTTCGAGACCAGCCTGACCAACATGAGGAAACCCCGTCTCTACTAAAAATACAAAAGTTAGCCTGGCCTGGTGGCGCACGCCTGTAATCCCAGCTACTCATGAGGCTGAAAGAGGAGAATTGCTTGAACCCCGGTGGCAGAGGCTGGAGTGAGCCAAGATCGCACAACTGCACTCCAGCCTGGGCGCGACATAGCGAGACTCCATCTCAAAAACAAACAAACAAAAAAAAGTGTACAAGTTAAGGAAGCCAGGTACAATGGCTCACACCTGTAATCCCAGTGCTGTGGAGGGCCAAGGTGTGAGAATCACTTGAGTCCACAAAATCGAGAACAGCCTGGGCAACAAAGTGAGACCCTGTCTCTACAAAAAGTACGAAAAGTTAGCCAGGCATGGTGGTCCCAGCTACTCAGGAGGCTGGGGCGAGAGGATCACTTGAGCCCAGGAGTATAAGGCTGTGGTGAGCTATGATAGCACCACTGCACTTCAGCCTAGGTGACAGAGCAATACCCTATTATCAAGGCACTGGACTTTTCCACTCCAGCAGAATTCTAAATTTTATTTAAACTATGTAGTATATATTAGGTGCAAGGCACCAGAGTTCATGTGAAGTGGAAGATATCACCAGAAGGTAGGGCAGATTTTAGAAATAACTAACAGAAGGTACATTAGGTTTTAGAAGGGACACCAAGCATCTTCCCCAGCAATGTTCTAGTCTGAGGAAAAGGAGGAAGGTGTCCTGGTGACCTGTCTCTAAAAACAAAAACAAGGCTGGGCACGGTGGTTCATGCCTGTGATCCCAGCATTTTGGGAGGCCGAGGCGGGCAGACCACCTGAGATTGCGAGTTTGAGACCAGCCTGACCAACACGGAGAAACCCCATCTCTACTAAAAATACAAAATTAGCCGGGCGTGGTGGCACAGGCCGGTAATGCCAGCTACTCAGGAGGCTGAAGCAGAATCGCTTGAACCCAGGGGGCGGAGATTGAGGTAAGCTGAGATTGCAGATCGCGCCATTGCACTCCAGCCTGGGCAACAAGAGCGAAACTCCGTTTCAAAAAAAAAAAAAAAAAAAAAAAAAAAAAAAAAAACAGGCTGGGCGCAGTGGCTCACGCCTGTAATCCTCGCACTTTGGGAGGCCGAAGTGGGCAGATCATCTGAGGTCAGGAGTTCGAGACCAGCCTGACCAACATGGAGAAACCCCGTCTCTACTAAAAATACAAAAAATTAGCCGGGCGTGGCGGCGCATGCCTGTAATCCCAGCTACTCGGGAGGCTGAGGCAGGAGAATTGCTTGAACCTGGGAGGCAGAGGTTGCAGTGAGCCGAGATCATGCTATATGCCACTGCACTCTAGCCTGGGCGACAAGAGCGAAACTCCGTCTCAAAAACAACAACAACAACGACAGCAACCACGGACGGTGGCTCGTGCCTGTAATCCAGCATTTTTTTTTTTTTTTTTTTTTTTGAGACGGAGTCTCGCCCTATTGCCCAGACTGGAGTGCAGAGGCGCAATCTCGGCTTACTGCAACCTCCACCTCCCAGGTTCAAGTGATTCTCCTGCCTCAGTCTCCTGAGTAGCTGGGATTACGGGCACGTGCCACCATGCCTGGCTAATTTTTTTTTTTGTATTTTTAGTAGAGACAGGGTTTCACCATGTTGGTCAGGCTAGTCTCAAACTCCTGACCTCGTGACCCGCCAGTCTCAGCCTCCCAAAGTACTGAGATTACAGGCGTGAGCCACCACACCTGGCCTATCCCAGCACTTTGGGAGGCCGAGGTGGATGGATCACTGAGGTCAGGAGATTGAGACGAGCCTGGCCAACATGGTGAAACTCCATCTCTATTAAAAATACAATAATTAGGCCAGGTGCGGTGGCTCACGCCTGCAATTCCAGCAGTTTGGGAGGCCGAGGTGGGCAGATCATGAGGTCAGGAGATCGAGACCATCTTGGCTAACACGGTGAAACCCTGTCTTTACTAAAAAAATACAAAAAAATTAGCCAGGCGTGGTGGCGGGCGCCTGTAGTCCCAGCTACTCGAGAGGCTGAGGCAGGAGAATGAGGTGAACCTGGGAGGCGGAGCTTGCAGTGAGCTGAGATCACACCACTGCACTCTAGCCTGGGTGACAAGTTCTGTCTCAAAAAAAAAAAAAAAAGGCAGAAAGAACATGGATTCACCTGCTTATACAAGAAAAAAGGAAAAAAAAAAGTGTACGAGTTGCCTTGTTACAATAAAACTAAATGTGTATACACACAAAGGAAATGGAGGACATTCAGGGGCTGGGATGAAGGGTACAGAAGAAAGGCCAGGAGATACGGCCCTTCCATTTGACAGTAAATAGACTAATTAAAAAATATTTATGTAGTATATATTAGGTGCAAGGCACCAGAGTTCATTTGAAGTGGAAGATATCACCAGAAGGTAGGGCAGATTTTAGAAATAACTAACAGAAGGTACATTAGGTTTTAGAAGGGACACCAAGCATCTTCCCCAGCAATGTTCTAGTCTGAGACCATTGTGAGTCTACAAACTGTTTCTATGACAAAGCTGTACATTATTATTATTATTATTATTATTTTATTTTTATTTTTTGAGACAGAGTCTTGCTTTGTCTCCCAGGCTGGAGTGCAGTGAAGCAATCTTGGCTCACTGGAACCTCTGTCTCTTGGGTTCAAACCATTCTCGGGCCTCAGCCTCCCAGGTAGCCAGGATTACAGGCGCATGCTGCCACCACACCTAGCTAATTTTTTGTATTTTTAGTAGAGACAGGGTTTCACCATGCCAGGCTGGTCTCGAACTCCTGACCTGAAGTGATCTGCCTGCCTCAGGCTCCCAAAGTGCTGGGATTATAGGCATGAGCCATCAGGTCTGGCCCATTATTAACATAAATTAAAGTTGGTACTAATAAGTCACAGGTGAGCTACCTATGAGACCTGAAACGTAAAACCCACATAAACAGAGGCACTAGCTGGTTTGGAGCCATGTGCAATTGGAAGTGCGACAGAAAGATAATAGGAGTAACTTTTCACCTCGGTAAACCTGTCCTCCTGGCTTGACTGCTGTTTCCTGGTAACCTAGTAGGGTGACCATTTGTCCTCATCTGTCTGAGATCTTCCTGGTTTATACCTAGAGTCCTGGCACAATTGTTCACAGCAAACCCTTTCTGCTCCCTGTATTCTCAAATATGTCCCAGTTTGGAAGCCAAATTAAATGGTTACCTACCTAGAAATCATTAAAAATAAAACCCCTTCTGGGCACACCTATAATCCCAGTACTTTGGGAGGCCAAGGTGGGCAGATTACCTGAAGTCAGGAGATCGAGACCAGCCTGACCAACATGGTGAAACCCTGTCTCTACTAAAAATATAAAAATTAGCCGGGTGTGGTGGTGCACGCTTGTAGTCCCATCTACTCAGGAGGATGAGGCAGGAGAATCGCTTGAACCCGGGAGGCGGAGGTTACAGTGTGCCGAGATCATGCCACTGTACTCCAGACTGGGCAACAGAGTGACACTCTGTCTCATAAAATAAATAAATAAAAAATAAAATAAAATAGGCCAGGCGTGGTGGCTCATGCCTGTAATCCCAGCACTTTGGGAAGTCGAGGCGAGCGGATCACCTGAGGTCAGGCGTTCGAGACCAGCCTGACCAACATGGCGAAACCCCGTCTCCACTAAAAATACAAAATTAGCCAGGCGTGGTGGCAGGTGCCTGTAATCCTAGTTACTTGGGAGGCTGAGGCAGGAGAATCACTTGAACCCAAGAGGCGGAGGTTACAGTGAGCTGAGATCACGCCACTGCACTCCAGCCTGGGCAACGAGAGCAAAACTCCGTCTCAAAAAAATAAACAAAATAAAAATAAAAATATAATAAAATAAAAACCACTGCCGGGCATGGTTTTTAGTCCAGACGTGGCTCATGCTTATAATCCCAGCACTTTAGGAAGCCGACGTGGGCAGATTGCTTGACCCCAGGATTTGGAGAGCAACCAGCCTGCACAACATGGCAAAACCTTGTCTCTACAAAAAATAGGTGGGCGTGACGGCGTGCACCTGTAATTCCAGCTGCTTAGGAGGCAGAGGCGGGTTGTAGTGAGGCATGATTGTGCCACTGCACTCCAGCCTGGGTGATAGAGTAAGACTCTGTCTCAAAAACAAAAAAAAATCTCCAATTTCTTCTGTCAGCATAACACCTAGTCAATTGTTCATGAGATGTGTCAAGCTCTTGACTCAGGTGTGTCCTTTCATCCATTCATCCATTCATCCATTCATCCGCCTGCCCATTTGTCCAGTCATTCATCAGTCTGTCACTTAATGGGTGTCTACTTGTACTAAGCACTGTACTGGGGATAAAAAGATGAATTACTCCCTCCCAGCCCTTGAAGGGCTCACAGTAGGGACACAAACAATTATTATATATAATAGAATCTGAGGGATTATGAAAATCCAGAGGAAAGAATGACTTTTTTTCTTCTTCTTTTTTTTTGAGACGGAGTTACGCTCTTTGTTGCCCAGGCTGGAGCGCAGTGTTGCGATCTCAGCTCACTGCAACCTCCACCTCCTGGGTTTGAGCAGTTCTCCTGCCTCAGCCTCCCGAGTAGCTGGGATTACAGGCATTCACCACCACGCCTGGCTAATTTTTTGTATTTTTAGTGGAGACGGGGTTTTGCCATGTTGGCCAGGCTGGTCTTGAAATCCTGATCTCAGGTGATCTGCCTGCCTCGGCCTCCCAAAGTGCTGGGATTACAGGAGTGAGCCACCACACCTGGCCAAGAATGACTACTTCTAAAGCAGTCAGGAAAGGCTTCACCAAGAATATATTCTGGATCCTTCTTTTAATTTTTTTTTTTTTTTTTTTTGAGACAGAGTTTCACTCTTGTTGCCCAGGATGGAGTGCAACGGCACGATCTCAGCTCACCGCAACCTCCACCTCCCAGGTTCAAGCAATTCTCCTGCCTCAGCCTCCCGAGTAGCTGGGATTACAGGCATGCACCACCATGCCTGGCTAATTTTGTATTTTTAGTAGAGACAGGGTTTTTCCATGTTGGTCAGGCTGGTCTCGAACTCCCCACCTCAGGTGATCCGCCCACCTTGGCCTCCCAAAGTGCTAGGATTACAGGCATGAGCCACCGCATCTGGCCCTTCTTTTTAATTTTTATTTATTTATTTAGACAGGGTCTCACTCTGTTGCCTTGGCTGGAGTGCAGTGGCACAATCATAGCTCACTGCAGCCTCAACCTCTAGGGCTCAAGCGATCCTTCCACCTCAGCCTTCTATGCCACCATGCCTAATTTTAAAAAAATTTTTTGTAGAGGTGGGGTCTCATTATGTTGCCCAGACTGATCTTGAACTCCTGGGCTCAAGCAATCCTCTTGCCTCAACCTCCCAAAGTGCTAGGATCGCAGATGTGAGCCACCACACTGGGCTCTGGTACGTTCTTAAAGAAAATTTTGCCACAGGGAAGAGTGTGTTAAGGGGAAAGTACTCCAGGCAGAAGAGTTATGTGCAAAGACCTTGTCACATGAAAGAAACACCATGTCCAGGAAACAAAGAGTTCTATGAAGCTGAAGTGCCAGGTAAAGGGAGAGAACAGAAGCAGGTAGCACCGCAGTAAAAGAGGCTGGGCTGGATTCATCCCGCAAAGGAGTCTGGGTTTATCCTGTACTCAGGAGGAAGACAGGGAGGGATTTTACTTTGGGCCTGAGGGCCATCCTTTGGAAGACCAGGCTGTACGTTTTCAAGAGGGGTCAAAAACATGCAGGAAACAGAGAAGCCTTTTTATATAACATCGGTGGAGGCAAACCATGAGAAGAATTTAATTTCCAACAAAGAGAAAAAACCTAACATATTTAATTTTTTTTTAACTTGGGAGTACCCCTGCACTTTCCACACATCACAAATTGACAGCACTTGAGTGGCAATACTGAATACTGCTTGAGGGAAGCTGATATTCAGAAGTCTTGTTAACCTATTTGCTAAGAGTATGATAATTTTTCTTCAGTTTGTTTAGACATACATCCACCCCATCTCTCTTTCTAAATAAGCTATTCGGCAATCTGGGAGAAAGGAAATCTTGTATCTTGGGGAAAAAAACCACTATGCAGTCAACTGAATTTCCATGAGGTTTTGGCAAACCATTTGCCAGAATGTTACTTAATTCTGAACTCAAATCCTCAAATCATACCTCCCATAACTCATTTCTCTTAAGACTCTGTTCCAATTTTTTTTTTTTTTTTAGAGACAGGGTCTTACTCTGTCACCCAGGCTGGAGAATAGTGGCACGATCATGGCTCACTGCAGCCTCAACCTTCTGGGCTCAAGTGATCCTCCTGCCTTAGCCTCCCAGGTAGCTGGGACCACAGACAAGCTCCACTGGCCCAGCTAATTTTTGCGTATATATATTTTGTAGAGAAAAAAAGTGTTGCCCAGGCTGATCTCAAACTCCTGGGCTCTAGTGATCCACCCACCTCGACCTCCCAAAGTGCTGGGATTACAGGCGTTGAGCCACCATACCTGGCCTCCAATTCTACTTTTAATCCTGCATTTCAAAATTTACTTACTATTTCAAAATTTTTGGCACTCTGTGGGAACGCAACAAATACGTGCAGAATATAGTAAGTGATTTAGTTTAGTTATTGTTCCTCTGGAAAAAACTGGCTTGCAGTAAATGACATTATTTTTCCCATACTGTTAAGGTGATGCTCACTGCAGAACTCTCTAAACAGATCTGCAGACTCTTTGGCCTGTTTCTAACACTACCGGTGTTTCCCAGAGGAGGATGCTGTCCCAACGTGGATTTCGGCTGCTGTTTTTTTCAGGCCCCAACACCACCCTCCTCAACCCCACAGCCTAGTGATTAAATGTCAGTGGCAGATGGAGAAAGCACTCCCACGTGTGCCACTCTGACAAATACTTTATTCCAACTAAATGTATAGGCTCTCACTGTGACATAAAAAGGGAAGAGGAAACAGAAAATTCAAGTGAGCTAAAGATGTATGAATTACAGAGTGAGATCAACTGCTAGACGACACAGGGAGGGAGTTAGCAGCGTCTCCACTGAAAGACAAATTCACAGACATCCTGTTTATTTCCGAAAGAGAAACATCATAGAGCTATTCTTGGGATGTTCAGGAAAAGATTAAAATAAATGCCTATTATCTATTGTATTTCGAGATAAACTTTATAGATTTAGAGCAGGACACACATTTCTGGACTTGAGAACGCTGTATCTGGCTTGGAATAAAAGCCCACATTTCATCTAGAGGTAGAATGTATGTCATTCTAATCTCCCTCAATCCTTTCTTCTCCAATTTCTTTATTGCCCCACTTACAAGATAGTGCACTATTATTCCAAAGCTGATACCTTCCAAATTCCTTTATAGTAGAGGTCTTGGCTATCATAACCATGATGGAACGAATGACCGTCCTACAGCTGGCTGCAAAATATAAGACTGCTATAAATAAATCCCTGATGCCTGAAAAGTAATTCATTCAACAAAGGAAGATAGGTATGACTTTGGCCTACTCTTCATTAGAACGCTTATTTTTATTTATTTATTTATTTATTTATAAAGAGGGCAAAGCAGACTTTATTTGAGGGGCACCACAGCAATAGGTATAGCAACAACTGCAACAGGGTTTTGTAGTCAGGGAGGGAGATCAGACTCAACTCCCTAAAATGCTAATTTTAACAATGGGACACTTCATCTGAACTGTGGTTCTTAATGGTTCAGATAAAGATGACACAACCCACTATTGGCTTAAACTTCTCCCAACTCTGGCTACAGAATCCAGGTAAAGATTTCTGCCCCCTCAGAGTAATAGGCATGTCCAAAATCACCTGGATTAGGGCACTTAATACACTGGGAAGGGACGATAACAACTAAAGATGACCACTATCCATGCCTCCTCTAAAAGTTTTTTCATATATTTTTTCATATCACCAAAACAAATACTAACTTGGATCAACTAATTTATATAATGGAATCTCGTGTGAGCGTACAAAATTCCATACTGATTATTTGGTTTAAGCCTGCATTATCATAAAGGCTTTACAGTCTTTAAACTGAAATTAAGCTCAAATTAAGAAATGCTAGTCTTAAAACAATGGAAGGGGGGGGCCGTTTTGTGTGGAGGGAGGGAGACAGACATACCCCTACACCCACCCACAACTACTGATATTGACATTGGAAATTAACTTGAAAATTTATGCCTGTAGTCCCAGCTACTCAGGAGGCTGAGGTGGGAGGAGCACTTAAGTCCAGGAGTTGGGAGATGACAGTGAGCTTTGACTGTGACACTGCACTCCAACCCGGGTGACAGGGCAAGATCCCATCTCTCAAAAAAAAAAAAAAAAAATGCTTTAACTCCACGTCTGTACCAGAAGACCACAGCAGGAGAGGAAAACCTTATTTCAGTCTGGGTAAGAGTTCTATTAAACACAAAATAAAACAAACTAGCCTCTGTTTCTGGAGGTCTTCATTAGTAGTTTCTACAAAACAGTATCCAAATTAGCAAAGATTCTGTTAACTACCTGGAAAAAGCAGGTACCAAGAAAGAATGTTTCACTACAATGGAAAAAAACAGTCTAGTAAGTAAACCAATCTGACTATAAACGCTACAAAAGAGGGATTCTAGCATTAGTAACTTTGCCAACAATACTCTGATATGATTAAAAAACAAAACAATAACAAAAACAAAAAACCTCATCTTTAAATTTGTCCCATTCATCCAGAGAAGCAAAATCAAGGAAACTAGAGGGGGTAAAGTCTTGCAACAGATACACAGCTGCACTGCCAACAGGTCACAAGACCCATGCTGCCTAGGGCATTGACTGTTATGCCATGAGGACAGACATCACACAAACACCAGTAATTAAAGGGTTACGGTGCCAAAGGGTTCAGAGCTCCACTTCCATTCAGTATCAGAACATAAGAAAAAGGGAAAAACAGAAAATGAGCCCAAATAAAATATAAAATAAAATATAGATACCAGGAGCTTCCTCAAAATATGTGGGTTGTATTAATAACGTGTTTGGCTCTGTTACGGGCACCATCCATCAGAGGACTGGAAATAGGGAAAGTCACCTTAGTCTTCCTCAAGGAAAAAAGATTATTTAACTTGGTTCACGGTGTACATTCATAATTTTAACTGTCATGTATTTATTGAATGAAAAACATTTGAGAACATCATGTGCAACAAAAACATGATTTCACAGAAATTGTCCAAACTAAAAGAGTATAAAAATAGAAGCGCTTTTTATACAATTATTTACTTATTATTATTATTGAGATAGGGTCTCCATCTGTCACCCAGGCCGGAGTGCAGTGGCGCAATCATAGAGTAGCCTCTAAGTCCTGGGCTCAAGCGATCCTCCTGCCTCAGCCTCCAGAGTCGTTGGGATCACAGGCTCGAGCCTCCACACCCGACTAACTTTTAAAAACTTTTTGTAGAGATGAGGCCTCGCTGTGTTTCCCAGCCTGATCTCGAAATCCTGGCCTCAATCGATCCTCCAACCATGGCCTCCCAAAGCGCTGGGATTACAGGCGCGAGCCATGGTGCCCGGCCGCTTTTACACAATTGAATAACATTAAAATAGGTGGCAGAAGACAGACAGAAAGTCGATTCGTGGTTGCCAGGCGTCGTGAATACCGGGGAACGCGGAGTGCCTATTAATGGGTAAGGGTTTCGTTTTGGAATCAGACAGCGGCGATGGCTGCACAACTTTGTGAATTTTCTAAGAATCACTGAACTGTGCACCTTAAAGGAAGAACTGTGTGGTAATTACATCGGCGGTACGCGGGCAGCGCGTCAATCAAGCCGGCGACGGTGAATGCAGTTCGGGAGAGCTGATACCCCTCGGGGAGGCGGCTCCGGGAGCCTGCGGACGTGGCGGACGCCTGGGACGGGGTGGGCCTGGCCTCCGCGCTCGAGGAGTCCCAGTCCTCTCCAGATGGAAGAAAGCCGGGGCGCGAAGCCGCCGCCCGCTCTTCTGCCTGGGGACGCGACTCTGCCGCCAGGCTCCCTCGGGTCAGCTCGGCACCCGCCCGAGCCCCCCCAGTTCCAGGCCCTCTCCTCATCAGACGTGCCCTGGGCCCTCAGCCTGTTCCTCTCGCCGCCCGGAACCCCGCAGCAGCCCCGGGTCCCCAGCCCGCGCCCCTCCGGCGCCGCCTCCGCCAGCTGCCCCTGCCCCCCGGGCCGCCCTCGCAGGCCGCTCCCGGCGCCCCGGTCGGCTTCCGTACCTGCCTTCTCCGCGCCGCCGTCCCAGTGGCCGGAGGTGGGGCCGTCGCCCTGCGCACTCCGGAGGGCCATGCCCCGGGGCCCCGGGCCCCCACCCGAGCCCCGGCTGGTGGCGGAGCCGGGAGAAGACGCGGCTCCGACCGCGGGACGTAGCACCCGCTCGGCATCGGCAGGCTCCCCTCCGTCGGCCAGCGGCGCGCAGGCGCGCAGGCGCCCCGCTGGCCCCGCCCCGCGCCGGCACGTGACCCTGCGCTACGCCCGGCCGGCGGCGGGGGAGGCTGCGGAAAGAGCGCGGTGAGCGCTCTGAGGAGTTGGCTTCGTCTGCGCTGTAGACTCTACGGTGTAGAGTGTGGCGCTCTTGAGCGAGTGTGCTCGAGACCAGCTGTCGTTTCCTTTGCTTCTTTCATCTGTAAAATAGTATTGATGATAATAAAAATATTGAACTCACAAGGTTATTGAGAGTGTTTAGAACATCACCAAGCATATAGTAAATACTCCACAATTATGACCAATTTTTGCTTACCAAGGATTATTTTTTTACCTCCTGTCTCGTCTCCCCACACGAACTCCTGTCATCAGTTCTTGGGTACTTGGGGATCTAGCAGGTTCATGTCATACGGGTCCGCAGGTTATGCACTGCACAAGGCCTGGGAGCGCCATTTACGTAGACGTTCACGTGAACCGTGCCCCCTTAAGTTGTGCGAAATAGTGGCCACTCATCTAAAGCAGCGCTCTGGCTTATCAGGTCTGATTTCCTTCTCGTCTTCAGTGATATTCCTTTCTTTCCAATTAGACATCCATTCCCTTGGTTATATCCCTGATATTGTGATTGTGGCCTCCCGAATTTCTAGTGCTAGGTCTTCATGCTGAAGTTCCCATAATTCCAGTTGCTTGATGACTCTCTTCCACCTCCCACCCCCAACCACAACAGTTCTTTATTATCCTGAGACCTCCAGCCCATGAAACTCCTGACCTCGTGATCCGCCCGCCTCAGCCTCTCAAAGTGCTGGGATTACAGGCGTGAGCCACCGCGCACAGCCAAGTTTTACAGTTCTATTCATAAATCTAGTAAATTATATCAGTTATTTGGTCCCATTAATAAACTAAGCTAATTAAAATCCTTTGAACATTTGAAACTGCATTTATAAATTCAATTCGTTTTTCTAAGTATCACAGGTTTCTAACAAAGCCTTTCAAGTCCTTGTGTAATTCTTGTAAATGTAATACATTTATAAGAATACTGAGTCATGAGTGCTTTCAAATGTGTCAATACAAACGAGATTTCATCTTAAAATCAAAAGTCTAAATCTATTCAAATACATATTTGTAATTAGTACAAGAATAATCTGTTAGAATTCTCAAAATTATCTTTTTTTTTTTTTTGAGACAGAGTCTCACTCTATCACCCAGACTGGAGTGCAATAGCGATCATAGCTCACTGCAGCCTCAAGCTCCTGGGCTCAAGCTAGCCTCCTGTTGCAGCCTCCCGAGTAGCTGAGACTGTAGGTACACACTACCATGCCTGGCTAGTTTTTTTAGTTTTTATAGAGGGGGTGGGGAATCTCCCTATGTTGCCCAGGCCGGTCTCAAACTGCCTTCGCCTCCCAAAGCTCTGGGATTACAGGCGTGAATCACAGTGCCAAGCTCTTGAAATTATCTTGAACATTATAGGAATTTAAAGTATCACATTTACACAGATGCCTTAATGCAAAATTATTAATACTAGAAGTTTGAAAACATTTCTAGTCTTTGTTCTAAATCATCTGTGAGGCTCATGCCTGTAATCCCAGCACTTTGGGAGGTGAAGGGCTGCAGATCACTTGAGGTCAGGAGTTCAAGACCAGCCTCACCAACATGGTGAAACCCCATCTCTACTAAAAATACAAAAATTAGCTGGGCATGGTGGTGCCTGCCTGTAATCCCAGCTACTTGGGAGGCTGAGGCAGGAGAATTGCTTGAACCTGGGAGGCAGAGGTTGCAGTGAGCCAAGATTGCGCCACTGCACTCCAGCCTAAGAGACGGAGTGAGACTCCATCTCAAAAAATAAATAAATAAAATGAAATAAATCATCATTGAGGTTAAAAGATGCTTAGTGCCCACTGAAGGAAGATTTAAGTCATCCCAGTTTAAGAGTAACGTGCTCAAGCAATTTGAGATATTTATTCCCTTCTCAGTTTACTGCGCTGGTCATCCAGCCAGCTGGATTCTTGCTTTTGGTAGTGATGGAACAGTGACCCCCACCCCATTCCCACCACCACAACTCTAGGACTAAACAGTTGTGTGGTCGTTGTGAAGCTTGGGCCAGAATTTACTTTCAAAAAATGTCCCGCTTCATGTATAATATAAAGACCTTACAATAAATTCCCATTTCTTCCCTCCTGTTCTTCTTGCTGTTGTCCTACATTTTACTTTTTAAAATCCCTTCCTTCTCTTGCTTTCTCCCCTCTACCCACCAACCACTTGCAAACAACCACTGATCTACATCCTGTCACTATAGATTGGTTTTCATTTTCTGGAATTTTTTATGGACGGAATCATATAGTATGTAGTCTTTTTTGTCTGGCTTCTTTTACTCAGCGTAATTATTTTATAAGCAATCATGTTGCATTAATCAATAGTTCATTTGTTTTTGTTGTTAAGTAGAATTTCATCTTAGAAATATACCACGATTCATTTTATCAGTATTTTAAATTTTTGCATGTGCTGCAAGTACACAATTCATTGCTAATATGCTTGCCTTAGACCAGGCGGTTAGCAAAAAAGATGGTCTGCCCACCTGCAAGCCAAAACCACTCTACTGCCTGATTTTGCACGGCTCATGAACTAAGAATGGCTTTTACCTTGATAAATGTTGAAAAATCACAACTTAATTGTAGCACATTAAAACTATATGGAATTTAAATCTCAGTGTCCATAAACCTTTACTGAAACAGAGTCACGCTCATTCATTTACCTACTGTCTATGGCTGTTTTCATGCTGCAACGGTAGAGTTCAGTGGTTGCAACAGAGATATGGCCTACAAAACCTAAAATATTTATTATCTGCTCCTTTATGTATTTATTTATTTTATGTGTGTATGTATGTATGTATTTTTTTGAGATGGAGTTTCACTCTTGTTGCCCAGGCTGGAGTGCAATGGCGCAATCGCAGCTCACTGCAACCTCCGCCTCCCAGGTCCACGTGATTCTCCTGCCTCAGCCTCCCGAGTAGCTGGGATTAGCCCGCCACCATGCCTGGCTAATTTTTTTGTATTTTTAGTAGAGACGGGGTTTTGCCATGTTGGTCAGGCTGGTCTCAAACTCCCGACCTCAGGTGATCCGCCCGCCTCAGCCTCCCAAAGTGCCTGGGATTACAGGCATGAGCCACCGCACCCGGCCTATCTGCTCCTTTATAGAAAAAGATTGGCAGGACGTGGTGGCTCACACCTGTAATCCCAGCACTTTGGGAGGCCGAGGCAGGCAGATTACATGAGGCCAGGAGTTCGAGACCAGCTTGGCCAAAGTGGTGAAACCCCGTCTTTACTAAACATACAAAAATTAGCCAGGCATAGTGGCACAGGTCTGTAATCCCAGCTACTCAGGAGGCTGAGGCAGGAGAATCACTTGAACCCAGGAGGCGGAGACTGCAGTGAGCCGAGATCACACCATTGCACTCCAGCCTGGGTGACAGAGTGAGACTCCACATAAAAAAAAAAAAAAAAAAAAAAAAGTTTTGTGACCCTCTATTGTAGAGATGGAGGTATTGGGGCTGTTGCCCAGGCTGGCCTTCAACTCCTGGCCTCAAGGGATCCTCCTGCTTCAGCCTCCCAAAAATGATGGGATTTCAAGTTTGAGCCCCATGCCCAGCTCACTTCAGTTATTTCTAAGGTAATTTAAAAAAGATTTTAATTGTACTTACCTTCATTCAATTTCCAGTGCTCTTAATTTCATTGTGTAGACCCAGGTTTTTTTCTGGTATCATATTCCTTTTGCCTGAAAAACTTCCTTTAGTATCTTGTAGAAGGAGCAATGAATTCCGTTTTTCTTTATCTGAAACAGGGTTTATTTCTCCTTTATTTTGAAAGACACTTTCATTTGGGTATAGGATTCCGGAATTTTGGGTGAGCAGTTTTTGTGTGTGTATGTGTTTTTCCCCTATCAGCATCAGCAATAAGGTCACTCCATTGGCTTCTAGCTTGCATAGTTTCTGACGTCTCCATAATTCTTAGCTTCCTCTGTATGCAATGTCTTCTTTTTCCTTGCTGCCTTTAAGATTTTCTTTTGTTTTAGCATTTCGAGTATATCTAATTTTATATGTGTGTGTGTATATATATATATATATATATATATATATATATATATATGAGTTTATTCTGCATGTTCTCTGAGCTTCTTGGATTTTGTGGTTTGCTCTGTCCTTAATGTTGAAAAGTTCTCAGCCTTTAATTCTTCAAATGTTTCTTTTCCTGTTCTCTCTCCTTTCTTCTGGGAATCTAACTATAATATGTTTGAGTGTTTGATATTGTCCCACAACTCTTGGATGTTCTCTTTTGACGGTTTTTTTTCCCTTCACCCTTTTTCCCCAGTGTTTCAGTTTGAATAATTTCTCTTGACCTATCTTTGAGTTCATTCATTCTCTCCTTGGCTGTGTCAAATCCACTGACGAGCTCCATGAGGCACTCTTCATCTCTGCATCTCTGTTAGTGTGTTTCTTTTTTTTTTTTTTTTTTGAGACAGAGTCTCGCTCTGTCCTCCAGGCGTGCAGTGGCGCAATCTCGGCTCACTGCAAGCTCTGCCTCCCGGGTTCACACCATTCTCCTGCCTCAGCCTCCTGAGTAGGTGGGACTACAGGCTCCCGCCACCATGCCCGGCTGATTTTTTGTATTTTTAGTAGAGACGGGGTTTCACCGCGTTAGCCAGGATGGTCTCAATCTCCTGACCTCGTGATCTGCCCGCCTCGGCCTCCCAAAGTGCTGGAATTACAGGCGTGAGCCACCGCACCTGGCCATTAGTGTGTTTCTTATTTTGACCAGTTCCATTTGGTTCTCATAGCTTCCATCTCTCTACTGAGATTGCACTTTTGATCTTGCATATTGTCTACTTTTACTGTTAGACCTTTTACCATATTAGTTATTTGAAATTCTGTATCACATAGCTCTGACATCTGTGTTTGGTTCTGAAGATTGCTTTGTCTCTTGGGAGTATGTCATTTATCTCTTGCTTCATAAGTGTTGGTGAAAGTTGGACATCTTGTGTAGGATAGTAGAGGCCCAGGGAAATGGGTTTTGTGTAGAAATGGGCACACTTTTCCTTCTGTTAGGTCTTTAGCGTGGGGGTTTGAATTAACCTAGTTAGGAGTTGTGATAGGCTGGGTGGGTGGCTCATGCCTGTATTCCCAGCACTTTGGGAGGCCAAGGCAGGAAGATTGCTTGAACACAGGAGTTTGAGATCAGCCTGGACAACATAGTGAAACCCCATCTCTACAAAAAAAATAAAAATTATCTAGGCATTTTTGGTGCATGCCTGTTGTCCTAGCTACTGGGAAGGCTTGCCGAGTCTGTCCTGCAGACTCTGCCCAAGCGACGGATGAAAGGAGTACTCAGATACAGATATCCAGTGAAAGAGCAGGATAGGGGACTGCCAGCACTAGGGGCCGAAGAGAATTAGCAGTTCCCCTAAGCCGGCAGCCCTCGCATTTGTTTGGTACAGATTTAATGACAAAGGCTTGGAGCAAACACAATTTGTGGGTAATAAACATTGTTGACCCCCCGAGTAGAGAGCAGTCCTGCATGCAAATGATTAAAGGTTGGTTTCTGGAGACAGGAGTAGACAAATTTATCTAGATAAGTTTCTTTACATTCCCTTGTTATCTGCCCTTTGCTCTCAGGCTCCAGATGAGACAATTTGGCTGCCTTCAGCCATAATTTCCTTCCAAAGCTTTTGTAAAACCTCCTGGCCTTTCAAGAAGGTTTGTGTCTTTACTATAATTTCTCCCACCACCCTGACCAATCTCCTACATCTCCCCCTTTTCTGTTTTTTGCATCAGCTTTTGTTAATTGAAGAGTACAGATGTGCAGCAACAGGTTTTTCAGGTGTAGTGGTCACTGCTTGTATTTCGGCTTTGCATCCTAGAATTAGTAAATAACATAAGATAAACGTGAATATAATCAGTAACATTCTTTTCCAATCAAGGAGTGACATGTAGTGTTACTTGCCACCTCAGTTCAGTGTGTGCCCTTACTAAGGAACCCCACTGGGGGTATGTTAACCCCTTCCAGCCAAGCAGTTACGTTATTAGAGGCTGGGAAGGGGGTGTCCACCCAGGTAATAGGGTGGAAGAAAAGCAGATTTAGAAGATGGGCCCAATAGAGTGTAGCAGGTACTGGTTGCAGGCAGAGTGAGGGAATTAAACAAGGTTAATAAAGCATAGTAAGGAATAAATTATCTGGAGTGAATGGTGTTTGTGTCCAGAGCAGGATTCGTTCAGCCTCCTGAGTTGTCTTCTTCAGCATCCCCCAGGTAATGTCTGGGGCTTGTGTCGTCTGAGGAAGCTGCATCATCCAGGGCTGTGGGTCCTGCAGGGACATTTCCTTCATTTCTGGTACCAGGTTGGGTCCTAGCCACACCATGTTAAGGTTTGATGCGTTGTGCTGGAATCCAAAGAGGACCTGAGGTGATGTGAACACAACCATATCCTCTTCCCCATGTTGGCAACTCATTTGGACCACACCATACATTACTGTTTACATCTTTCCATAAAACTGTGGGTTTTATGTCTTGAGAGGTTTTAGCAAAGTGCTTTTCTATAGCTGATTGAAATTTATCATTTAAATTTAAGAAATTAAGGGTAAATAAGGCTTTTGCTAGTAGTGTTGCAGGGTCCTTACTCATACTCCCCCTTTTTTGTTTTTTGAGCATATTTTTAAGAGTGGACACGTTCTACTATGGCCTGTCCTTGGGGGTTATACGGGATGCCTGTGGAATGCTGGATGTTCCACGTGTGACAAAATTGTTGAAATTGTGAGCTGGCATGAGCCAGACCATTATCAGTTTTAATTTTTGTGGGCCGCCCCATAAATGCAAAAGTTAAGAGAAGAGTTTAATAACATATCAGGTGGACTTTCCAGGAAGAGCATTGTGCTAATTAGGTGAGAATAGGTATCAATGGATACTTGTACATATCTTAGTTTTCCAAATTCAGGGACGTGAGTAACATCTGTTTGCCATAACTGATTAGGTTCTAGTCCTCTAGGGTTAACGCCTGTTGAAGGAGGGGACATGCCTGTGAGCTGGCAATCCGGGCATTGCAGGATAATTTGTTTAGCTAGTCTTTGGGTAAGTTGAAATTGTTCAGTTAAGTTCCTTCAATTTTGGTGGAAAAATTGACGCAACTGCATGGCTTGGTGAAGCAGTGACATCATAACTTGCAGGTCTGCTTGTTCATTGCCATAAGCCAGTGGGCCAGGCAGTGAGCTGTGGGCTCGAATATGTGTGATAAAAATAGGATGTGTACGTTGATCCAGCAATTGCTGAAGTTGAAGAAAAAGTGCACACAGGGTGAGCTTGAGAGTGGACTTAATGAGGGCTGTTTTAAGGTTTTGCAATAAATAAACAGAGTAAGCAGAGTCACTAATATTGATAGGCAGAGTGGAAAAGTTCTCCAGGGGCAATATTAAGGCTCCAACCTCAGCTCTCTGAGTGCTAGTAAATCCAGAATGAGTGAGGAAATTATGCAGTCTCCACCAAACAGGCGCTTTTCTGTTTTTACCAGAGCCATCAGTAAAAAGTGTTAAAGTGTTGGGGTATGGGGGAGTGAACTACTTTTGTAGGCACAACTACAGGAGTACGAGATAAGAACTGAATTACGTTGTCAGCAGGAAGGGCATGCTCTATATGGCCTGTGTAATCAGAGATTGCTATCTGAAGATCTAGAGATAGGGGCAATACTGATCCAAATTGCCTTTTACTCAAAGGAATTCTTATGACATCATAACCTAGCAACTGATTGCACTATCTGCGGCCTGTATAGATGACTTTACTAACTAGCTGGATATAGGAAGATAGTGTTTTAGTCTCGGTATGTGAGCAAAAAACCCATTCTAGGAAGCGTAGTCCTGGGGTCATCTCTCCTATTAATACTGTTGGGGAATGTTTAGTAGGAAAAACAAACAATTGAACTGACTATCGGGGTGTCTATGTGATATAGTTGCCTCTGAGAAATAGCTTGCTCTATTTCCTCAATTTCCCTTTTTGCTGCAGGAGTCAAATACCTGGGAGAGTCTAGGGCTGTATTGCCCTTTAGGATAGAAAACAGTTTTGTAACTTATCAGTAGTTATGCCCAACGTGGGGTGAAGTCAATTAATATTGCCCAGTAACTTTTGATAATCATTTAAGGTGTGTAAATCGCTAGTATTTAACCTTTTGAGGTCTTACTGACCAGAAGTTAGTATGTATCCAAGATATTTCCAATTGTACTTTTTCAGGTGCTATGATTAAACCTCTTAACTGTGTATTCTTTATGACAGAGGCATATAAACTTAAAAGCACTGGCTCTGTTGGGGCTGCTAGGAAAATATCATCCATAAAATGAATAATCTTGCAACTAGGAAATTCTTTTCTACTGGGGAGCAAAGCCTGATTTACATGATACTGACACATGGTAGGACTGAACAGCATCCCTTGAGGAAGTACTTTCCAATGAAATCAGCGAGCTGGCCTCTCATTACTGATAACTGGTATTGTAAATGCCAATTTTTCTCTGTCCTGTTCTACAAGGGGAATAGTATAAAAGCAGTCCTTTAAGTCAATAATGACTATAGGCCAATCTTGAGGAATCGCCTCAAAGGGGAAGGGAGGTCCCGTTGAAGGGGCCCCATAGGTTGCAAATTAGCATTGATAGCCTGTAAGTCATGCAAAAGTCTCCATTTGCCAGACCTTTTGGGAATGATGAAAATGGGCGAATTCCAAGGGCTGTTTGACAGTTCTATATGGCCAGCTTTTAATTGTTCTTCCACTAATTCATGGGCTTTTTGTAATTTCTCTCTCTTTAAAGGCTACTGTTTTACCCAAATAGGATTTTGAGAGAGCCATGTCAGGGGTAGGGGAGGAATAACAGTGGCCATTATTAGAAAGGTTTGCTGTTCACACAATTTATCAAATTCTGCCCTCCAGAGGAGGTACTGACTGGCCTTTAAAGTTGTTTTAGCTAGCACTGACCAGTCCCATGGGGTGATATGGAAGTTGTCTGCTATGGTTTCAATTATTCCTTTTGTAAATGGGCTAGTGGCTCCGTTTAATGCTTTTTCTTACCACTTTATAAGCGTCAAAAGAAGTTGTCTGCTATGGCTTCAATTATTCCTTTCATAAATGGGCTAGCAGCTCCATTTTCTTTAACGTTTTTTTCTTATCTCTTTATAAGCGTCAAAAGAAATGGGTTCATATACCTGATCGCCTTGTCGATCTTGCATTACTGGGCAGGCTAAGAGCTCCCCTTCTGATGCCGCTTGGCTAAGACAGGGTCCCAAAGCTGTAGTGTATCCCTTGTCTTTTTCCAATTTATTGGAGGAGGGGGCTCAGGCAAAACCTCTGTTTCCTCTTTGTTATTTTTGCCTGTTAATGGCTGGGCTGAGGGAGAAGGAGGAGACGGTAGGGTAGGTGACGGTTCCATCTCCCTTACTTTTTTAGGCTTTTCTGTGTAGAGTGGGACCAAAGCAGTCCTAACTAAAGCCCATAACGTTAAAGATGTTACTGAGACCCATTGCCCTTGCTCATGATGTTAAAATTTCTTCCCAGAGCTCTA
Source organism: Homo sapiens (assembly GCF_000001405.40). NCBI lineage: Eukaryota > Metazoa > Chordata > Mammalia > Primates > Hominidae > Homo > Homo sapiens. The sequence continues at coordinate 472,113 of NC_000020.11, forward strand.
CGTCTAGTGTACCTTCTTCCGAGAGCCATGGGTTATGGGAAACAACAGTTTGCATTAGGTCCCATAATTGAGCCTGTCTGAGGCTCTGCTAACTTTCAGCATTTGTTTTACTACTTTTATATACTGTTGCTGTTGAGCTGACAACTGTTGTCCCATGATGACAACTGTCATCCCATGATGATCGTCCCTAGCTTGAGCAATTCCTTTGAACTTGGAAATGCTGAACAGGCACCAATGACTTACTGACTGCGCAGTCTCTTCACCTTCATTTTCGAGGGTTCCGTCGTGATCTGTTGCAGCATTCCTCACACAGGGAATCACCTGCCGAGTCTGTCCCACAGACTTTGGCCGAGTGACAGATGAAAGGAGTACTCAGACACAGATATTCAGTGAGAGAGCAGGCTAGGGGACTGCCAGCACTAGGGGCCGAAGAGAGTTAGCAGTCCCCTTAAGCTGGTGGCCCTCACATTTATTTAGCACAAATTTAATGACAAAGGCTTGGAGCAAACACAATTTGTGGGCAATAAACATTGTCAACATCCCAAGTAGACAGCAGTCCTGTGTGTGAATGATCAAAGGTTGGTTTCTGGACACAGGAATAAACAAATTTATCTAGGTAAGTTCCTATACAACTCCCCTGTTATCTGCCCTTTGCTCTCAGGCTTCAGATAAGAATTTGGCTGCCTTCAGCCATAATTTCTTTCTGAAGCTTTTGCAAAACCTCTCGGCCTTCCAAGAAGGTTTGTGTCTTTCCTATAATTTCTCCCACCACCCTGACCAATCTCCTACAAAGGCTGAAGCAGGAGGATTGCTTGAGCCCAGGAGTTTGAGGCTGCAGTGAGCTGCGATCACACCACTGCACTTCAGCCTGGGCAACAGAGCAAGACCTTGTCTCTAAAAAGTAAATAAAAAAAAGAGTTGGGCTAGGTTTGAGGTTTATTGTTGCTATGGTTACCCCCAATGCAGCAGCTTCCAGTTCCTCCAATGACACCTTGGACTGAGGGTGCAGGCTGGCCTGCCAGAGGGATTTTCTCCTTCCATGTGTGCTCCCTGCTCAGCTTTAGGTCCTCCCTTTGTGACCCTCAGAAAGGGTCTTCTTCCCATACTCTTGTCTCTCTCCTGTAACATTTTTACTTCTAACTCAAGGCTTGTCAGCTTACCATTGGCAGGTGGGGGAGGAGGGAATTCTCTGTTCTGATCAAGTCTCAGTCTCTGTCAGGCCCTTTGTGTCTCTGATTTTGGGGTTATGTCCTCCTTAGTGCTCCTGTTCCTCCCCCAGTTCTGGGCCCAGTGTGTATTCCTGCCCCTGCCCAGGGAAAGTTTTGTTTTGTTCCTGTTTCATTCCCCCAGATGCAAGGGAGCTTCATCCAAGGGGGTGACAGGATTTGGTGTCCTTCCCTCCACAGACTAAGGCTTTTGTCCGGTAGGGGATACAGGGAAGGGTCTGGGTGGAGCACTGTGATCCTTTCACAGTAGCTGCCATTGTCTTCTTCCAGATCTTGAGACATTTTATTAAAACTTTCTCCAATCTTCTGTGTGCTCCCAGTGGGGTTCATGGTGAAAAACGCTGAAAAGGGTAAAGACTACTGCAGTCTCCATGACCCAGTCCCTCACCAGTGTCCACTTGTGTTTACCAGGTAACCAGTGCCCATGTCATCTCTTCCATTTTGTGCCTGTCTCTCCTTAGATTTGAAGCCAGTTGATTGTCTTCTGATCTCAGCTCTCCAGAAGACCTTTTCCAGAAGACCTCTCCCTGTGTATCCACTTCTAAACCAGTCACAACTGCCCGAGTCTCACAGCAGCATGGTGGATATCCCGCTGTCCCTCAAACTGGGGCTCTGTCAACAAAGAGGAAGGGAGGAATGACTCCCTTGGGAGGAGACAACAACATTGCAAGTGATCTAGTCTTTGAAAGGCTTTTAAGCAAGGGACTGAGATAAAATTTATTTATTATTTTTAAGAGAGAGGTTCTCACTCTGTCAGCCAGGTCTCACTGAGAGCAATGTGATCATAGCTCACTGCAGCCTCCAACTCCTGGGCTCAACGTATCCTCCCACCCAGCCTCCCCAGTAGCTAGCACTATAGTCACACACCACCACACTAGTTAATGTTTTCATTTTTTGTAGAACAGAGGACTCGCTGTGTTACCCAGGCCTCAAGTGATCATCGGGCCTTGGCCTCCCAAAATGCTGGGGTTATAGATATGAGTCACTGTGCCTGGACTAGAATATTTATTTTTGAAAGATCTTTGGTTGCAGGTGTCAGATGAATCAGGAATTGAGACGAGATGGGAAGGCATCAAGACCAGTTATCTGCTATGATACTCCAAGCAAGAGAGGATGGTGGCTGGGATGAGGAATTTGGCAACGGGAATGGGAGGAAGTGGATGCATTCAAGATAAATATCCATTTATTAAAAGTAGTTGCTTTTTCACCAGAGTAATACATAAATATAGTTTTAAAAGTAAATACTGCTACTATCTTAACAATAATTTAAAAAATCTCAAAATAACATGCAACTGTTTGATTTTTCAGTTTTAGGCATTAGTTCCCCTTATAAATGATGAGAGTTTAGAGCTTAGACCGCTTGTCCTGTTACCAACACCACCACACATGCCAGCATTTCCCATCACTCCTCTTTCCATTGTCATCATACTGTAATCCTGGTTAGACCAGTATTCAGTGTTTCCATTATGACTACGTAAATTCTAATCACAGCTGAACCAGCAGTATGATATTTAGTTTTCCCTCCTTTCATAACTTTTCCCATTCCTGCTGAGTTAATACTTTTTTGGCTTGTCTTACTCTGCTCAGTTTTCATTTTGTAAACTTTTAAACATTTGAACTCTAGCAAATATACTGAGAAGTGCCCCAAACGTAAATGGAGAGTTTAACAAATAATTATAGAGCAAATACAACATTTAGGTACCACCCCAATAAACACAACACCGAGGACCCCCAGAAGCACCCTGTGTATAGTGGAATGTTGTGTTGTTTCTGGCCATGGAGTCTCAAAGACTGATTCTCAATTTTTGTTGCTTGAAAACAAGTAAACAAGTATTCTCAGCCGGGCACGGTGGCTCACGCCTATAATCTCAGCACTTTTGGAGGCCGAGGCAGGCAGATTACTTGATGTCAGGAGTTCCAGACCAGCCTGGCCAACATGGTGAAACCCTGTTGTTTTGTAAAAATACAAAAACTATCTGGGTGTGGTGGCATGTGCCTATAATCCCAACTACTTGGGAGGCTGAGGCAGGAGAATCGCTTGAACCTGGGAGGTGGAGGTTGCAGTGGGCTGAGATCATGCCACCGCACTCCAGCCTGGGTGACAGAGTTAAGACTCTGACTCAAAAAAAAAAAAAAAAAGTTGGTGTAATCCTTTCCACACACACATATATATATACATAGATGTTATATGTGGTTGCCTTCTGTTCCTACTGATATATATGAATAGTATGGCTGATTGCATTATTGGTTTGTTTCTTCATTCCCCTGTAATAAGACTAAACATACACACCCTTTGCCATATAACCTCATAAAGTTTTCCCAACACAGGCTCTATGCTTCCCTACTGCACTGATGTTGGGCTTGGCTATGTGATTTGCTTTCGCCAATGGGATGATGGTGCTTGTGACACAGCAGAGGCTTGAAATGTGCTTGTGTGATTCCATTTGGTCTCTTCTAAGTTTCTGTGATTCATGAGAAGAGCACGCCCTGAGTAGCTGCTGCAACTTCTGCCACATTGGGCAAACCTGAATCCAATTCACATGGAGGTGTCCAGCCCAGCCGACCCACAACCTGAAAAACAGCTGCTTGGGCTGAACTTGATCTAGATCAGCTGAACTACATACAGTTGCCTTAGAAATTTGTGAGACTAAGACTAGACAGAGAACAAAAGCAAAAGAAAGAAAAAATTTGTCTGCAATGACTGGCTAGGAACCTGGACAGATTCCTGGCAACATAGCTGTGCAAAAGCAGCCCCACAAGCAAAATTGAGCCAGGAGACAGGGTTCTGATCCCAGGCATGGGCCTTGGCAGCTGAAACTTGTTAGGCTGGGCCTCTCCCTCGCCAGTTCAGGCAGCCCCTCCTCTGAGGCCTCATGGACCATTCTCTCTTCTCCAAGACTTCAAGATTCCTTCCTAGTGAGTTTTTCTTTTTTACTTTTAGATGGAGTCTGGCTCTGTCACCCAGGCTGGAGTACACTGACGTGATCTCAGCTCACTGTAACCGCCACCTCCCAGGCTCAAGCAATTCTCCTGCCTCAGCCTCCCAAGTAGCTGGGACTGCAGGCACACGTCACCAAGCCCAGCTAATTTTTGTATTTTTTAGTAGAAACAGGGTGTCACCATGTTGTTCAGTCTGGTTTCAAACTCCTGACCTCAGGTGATCCACTCGCCTTGGTCTCCCAAAGTGTTGGATTACAGGCGTGAGCCACCATGCCCGGCACCTAGTGAGTTTTTCTGTTACTTTTTTTTTTGGAGGCGGGGTCTCCCTATGTTGCACAGGCTGGAGTGCAGTGGTGAAATCATGGCTCACTGCAGCCTCAACCTCCTGGGCTCAATTGATTCCTCCATCTCAGCCTCCCAAGTAGCTGGGACTACAGGCATGCACCACCATGCCCAGCTAATCTGTGTATTTTTTGTAGAGAGGGTTTCATCATGTTTCCCAGACCGGCCTTGAATTCCTGAGCTCAAGTGAGTCGCCCGCCTCCACCTCTCAAAGTGCTGAGATTACAGGTGTGAGCCACTGCACCCAGCCTGTTAAATCTTTTTTTCAATTAATAACAACTTCTTTTACAGACAGGGTCTCACTCTGTTGCTCAGTCTGGGGTGCAGTGGCACTATCATAGCTCACTGCAGCCTTGAACCCCTGGGCTCAAGTGATCCTCCTGCCTCAGCCTCCAGAGTAGCTAGCACTACAGGCATGTGCCACCACATCCAGCTAATTTTTAATTTTGGTAGAGACAGGGTCTCCCTATGTTGCCCAGGCTGGTCTCCAACTCGTGGCCTCAAGCAATCCTCCTGCCTCAGCCTCCCAAAGAGCTGAGATTACAGGCATGAGCCACCACGCCCAGCTTCTGTGACTTTAAAAAAATCTTTTTAGACAGGGTCTTGCTCTGTCACTTGGGCTTGAGTACTGTGGCACAATCACACCTCACTGCAGCCTTGACTTCTTGGGCTCAGGCAATTAATTCTCGTCCTTTGGCCTCCCCAGTAGCTAGGACACAGGCGCACACCACCACACTCAGCTAATCTATTTTTTGTAGAGGTGGGTTTTCGCCATGTTGTCCAGGCTGGTCTGGGACTCCCGGCTCCCAAAGTGTTCCAACCACAGGTGTGTGGGCCTTCCGTGGTATCTTAACCTCATCACCCAGAGGCAACAACAGCTAGTATTCTTCTAGTTTTTACCACCCCCACCACCTCAATCCTGCCCCTGTAGCCTTTCCAAGTGCCACAGCATTGTTTCAGTTTCTATCTTAGAAAGCCCGGGAGTCTGTGTCCTATCTCCCTGGGGGCATTCAAACCCTAGTCCATAGCCTGAGGCCCACCTATACCCAGACCCAGTGTCTTGGAAGCACTGACTTTAATACCCACTTAGGCTGGGCGCAGTGGCTCACGCCTGTAATCCCACCACTTTGGGAGGCTTGGGCGGGCGGATCACCTGAGGTCGGGAGTTCGAGACCAGCCTGACCAACATGGAGAAACCCCGTCTCTACTAAAAATACAAAATTAGCTGGGCGTGGTGGTGCATGTAATCCCATGCCTGTCTCAAAAACAAAACAAACAAACAAAACAAAACAAAACAAAAAAACCCCAGTTACATTCAGGATGAATTCTGCCTTCCTTTTTGCCACCTTGGGATTTCCATTTCTTTCTCTGAAATAGGCATTTGCATTTTTCCTAGGATTTTTTTTTTAAAACAGTTGGAATTATCCCATATACACAATTTTTTCACTTTTCTAATTAACATACATTTCCCCATGGGCTTGTGTCTCACCTCTCAATCCCCAGTGTATAGCAAAGACCAGGCTCAGGGGCACTTACAAATGTTTGTTGAAACCAAAGACATCCTATATTACAGAAATGAACTTTGGAAAGACCAGTCAGCGTGGGTGGGTGAGGAATGCCAGAGACGGGAGAACAAAATGAGGTATACCGTCAGGTTTGAAGGGTTGAGGGTTATGGAGGGTTCTTCATAGGAAGTTCACCATGGAGTTCTTGGAACTGTTCAACACACAGAAGCAAGGTCCTCTCCTTCTAGGTATGGCTAGAAATGTTTATCAATAGCTGAGACTCTGATTCCCAGGGTGGGATCAGGAAGCCAGCCCCAGCTGCTGCAGCATTTTTTTCCCTTTTTCTCATTACAGGAGCCAAGAAAACTGTCAAAGCAGATGATGCAAGAGTGAAGCTGACTCAGAAATACTCAATCCCCCCAGGAACTTCTCTAAGAAATGGACTGACCATCCTGTAAGCTTCCATCTGGAGGTACCTGGGGAAGGGCTTCTCACATTGAGGCCAATAAGAATCCCTAGTGGGCCAGGTGTGGTGGCTCATGCCTCTAATCTCAGCACTTTGGGAGGCCAAGGCGGGTAGACTGTTGAGCTCAGGAGTTCAAGACCAGCCTGGGCAACACGGCAAAACTTCATCTCTACCAAAAAAAAAAAAAAAAAAATTAGCCAAGCATGATGGCTCGTGCCTGTAGTCCCTGGAAGGCTGAGTTGGGAGGATCACCTGAGCCTGGGAGGTTGAGGCTGCAGTGAGCTGTGATGGCGCTACTGCACTCTAGCCTGGGTAACAGAGCAAGACCCGTATCAAAAAACAAAACAAACAAAAAACTTCTAGTGAGTAGAGCGACAGGGAGACAAATCCAGTTTGTAATTTGCTACAGTGCAAAATATCTGGCTTTCCATAGAGGGAGTGGGAACAAGGCAATGCTGGCCTTCATTCAATCAGAAACTTGACTTGTACCCGTTGAAAACCTGTCATGTTTAATGCTTGGATATTTTTTCTTCTAGTAAAGACACTTTACTGCCACCTGCTGGAAAAGAGTCAGAAATTTTCCAAATGCAAACATCTATGGCCTCCCTATAATGTAGCATCCTTTTACTGTACATAGTCTGCACAACTGTACAATTTAGAAGAGAAACCAACATTTGGTGTAACTCTACCATATACCAGGCATCTGTCATAGAATCTGAACAACCGCTCTATGAAATCAGTACTTATACCCCAATTTAACAGATAGGAAATATTGGGACCTCTGGGGAAGGGAGGAAGAAGAGGGTATCACCAAAAAAGGGCAAAAAGGGGGCTTGGTCTGTATTGGCAATGGAAATTCAACTTGGGTGGTAGGATTATGGATGTGTTACAGCTTTCTTTATAATTTGGTACATGCCTAAAATGTTTTACAATAACAATTTAAATCACCTGTGAAGAAAAGATTCAGAGAGGTTAACTGATCAAAAAAATCACACTGCCAGACAGAACTCTGTTAGAGGTAGACCACTTGCAGTAACATTACATTGCTTCTCTAATGGTTAAATTTAGCACAGAATCAAAGGAGAGCTATAAAGTCTAGGAAGTACTTATTTACATAGGATTGAGTCCAGAACATCTTGTGACACCATCTACATATGTTTTACTTGGAGAATAGTCTGAATTTCGTATTACACGTTGAGCATTTCTAATTTGAAAATACAAAATCCTCAAAAATCTGAAATTTTTTAAGCATCAACATGATGCCTAAAGTAAATGCTATTTGGAATATTTCAAATTTCAGATTAGGAATATTGAACTGGTATGTATTCCGCAAATATTCCAAAAATCCAAAAAAATTCAAAACACTTCTGGTCCCAACCATTTTGGATAGGGGATATTCAACCTATATTACACACAGGTAATACAGCAGGGGAAAAGCAGGGAGACTGCAGCATCTAAGTCTACTAAATTGGCCAGGATCATTCCTTAGTCTTCAGATACCTATTTATCAGGGTCTCATTAAATAAAGTTACTTGTCATGTTAGTTCAGTCTGGCCTGTGGCTTGTAATTATAGCTGCAAACTCAAGGGCAAAGTTCTTAGGATTTTGAGATGCTCTTTATGCAACAATACTTCCATTTACTTTGTGTGTGTGTGTGTGTGTGTGTGGGTGGGTGGGTGTGTGTGTGTAGGGAGAGAAAGGGGGCAATGGAGTGGAGAGTGGAACTACAATTTATTAAGCACCTATTATTACAAGCCAAGTAGGGTGTTAAATATTTTCCTCGTGCCATTCCATTCAATACTCTTCGATCCTGAGGGAAAACGAACCCACTTAAAAAAAAAAACAAAAGGTTTTAATGAGGATTGCATAAGACATGCAAGGTCACCAGGGAGTTTACATGCAAGTGGGGAGATACAAAATAATACAACAAAAGTTCAGGTGTTCTGAGGAAAAAGAAGGGCAAGGGTAAGTGATGACAGTGGGGGAAGTCGGATTCAGGATAAACCAATTTTAGACTCATTTTTTGAGGAAGGAACTGAGCATGACCTTACCACACAGCCTTTTTAGTTAAGTGTTTCTTTAACTAGGAAAAGGCCCTGGGAAGACAGGCTCTCTACTATGCAAACCCAATTCCAGTCTTGGGAGAGAATTTGCTGGTGGGACAAAATCAGGTTTTTCAAGAGATGCTTAAATGGTCAATTCTAATTATAACCATACTTGTCAAAAGGTGAAGCAAAGATGAAAGTTAAAAACTAAGAAGAAATTAAAATTCCCAAATCTGTCAACCAATCTCTAATTTTCTCTGCTACTTTAGGACTATAGTAATTAGCCATACCCTGAGGATCTACTTTACAAGATATATTCCTCTGACAGTCCCACTCTAACAATTTAATCTATCTTATGTAAGCTGGACAGGCATTTCAAGTACAAGAAACAGAATTCAAAACGTGAAAACGGAGCCATCTATCACACACGGTGTCGGTTGGAGAAGCATATTGCTCAGGCTGCAGGGACATTTCATTTATTTAAATGTTTTTATTAAAAAAAATTAAAGACCTTCATGGCACAACTTCTTCCCAGCACAGTTATGGTTTAGTCATACCAATTACAATACAATTACAACCAATAAAGCAAGGTGGGGAGGGCCTTCTGGCTTCAAACTTAAAAAAAAGCAGAGGAAGAGGGGAGGGACCACTTCAAACAAAGTTTAAAAATACTTTAAAAAATCTTTCAGAGTAATTGCCAACATAACCTTTCATGTTGGCCATTCCATTTCCTGCCATCTAAGCAATGCAGACACAGGTAGTGCTGAGAAATAGTGTCCCAATACAAGGTATACAGATGAGGTAATTTACAACAACACGTAAGTTGTTACTCTGTAAACCCTTGCCTCCCCCCCACCCCCCACCCAATTGGGTCTTTTTTTTTTTTCTCTCTCTCCATGCTTCTGCAGTGACTCTTAAGTAGCATTTTTAAAAACTTCTATTTATTTTAAAAGGCTCTTGGGTGGCACCTCAGAGTCCTCTGCATTCACCTTCGGTTTATTCCAAGGTCTGATGGGTGTAAGGAGGTCCAGCTGTCTGCAGCTCTCCGCATCAGCCTAAGCTACACCTCAATTTCCGAGCTACAAGGATAGGGTATGAAGTCTTGATTTACAACCCTCTCCCCACCTCAAAAGAAAGAACTCATTAGTTATAAGTGTCCTGTTCAAATCACAATCCAGTGCAAACATAATCACAAATTGCATCTCTGGCACATCTGGTGCTTTTAGCTTCTGCACAAATTCAACATGGTAACCCTCACAGCATTCTAGGGCATAAAAGGGTCAAGTACAATAAATATCCACTGTAAGTGGTCATAAGGAAGAAAATCACCCTGCCACACAGTCAGAATGTTTTCCCTTCAGCTCTCCCTACCGTTGAGAAGCGCTATAAAAGGAGGCTTTAGCGTCCTCTAAAGTTTACCATTATATTCACTAAAGCCACCACCTTGATAAAGTTACTAAAGCCAAGATGGGTTACAAAGTTAGATAAGTTCATTAAATTCAACTCCCCAAACAATTACGTTTATCTATGATGCCTAGGCGAGAAAGGCCTGTGAATCTATAAGGTAGGAGAATGGGGAACTAAGATTTTAGGCCTTAAAATATGTTGGAAGAATTTTTCCTAGTTCCCACAAGCAGCTACTGTAATGAAATAACAGGAGAAAATACAGAGCTGATGGTTTTGCTATTGTGCTTAAAAAACTAGGCTTCCTCAGTGAAGCACCTGATAAACTTAGGTGGTTGGATTACAGTGGAAAGTCCACTTTACACACACACACAAACACACAAAAACTGGCGACTTTTTCCATCCCCAATCCCTGCACTGCTGAGACACAAAATGAGTTTTATGGCAAAGGATCCTTAATCCCCAGAGACGCTTTGGCTTGTGGTGCTTTTTTTTTAAGGCCTCTCTGCTCTGCCCGGTACCATGGGTCGAACGAGGGGTGTATAAAATGGGGGCCTTGGGAAGCCTCCACGGTACAGGGCTGCAGGCCCCTCAGATGTGAACATGAGACACCCACCCAGCAAGACCTTTACACAGGGAACTTAAATCTAACCTTGATAAATAAAACCAAACGTTTATTTACACCAAAGAATTCCAACACTGGATCTTTCACATATGAAGGACAAAGTATTATATATATACACACAGCAAGGGGTGGCGGGGCTGTAACAAGAGAGTTTATAGTTTTCCCACAATTACAGGTCTACCATTTCAGCTTCAATGGAGATAGTGGCTCTGCTCCTACCTCTCAAGATACATTTACAAGACTGAGGAGCAGGTCTTCTCACTGGATGGCATGTGAGGGAAGGGGACGGTCGGAGGAAAAGAAGGTAGAAAGCTTAAAATGGAAGTCAGTGTGGCCACATCTCCCATTAGCTCTAGCATGAAACCTGTACAGACAATGTTTGTTTCTTTTGTAAAAAGCAGTAAGTTATGCCCAGTAACTAAATGAATTCAAAATGGCCAAGACAAAGAAAACTAAGAAAGATTTTGCCTTCCCTCTCCTACCAGCTATGGAGCACAGCATGTTGGGAGATGAACAGGGAAAAGACCAAGGTAAGGAGCCTGGGAGGGAAGGTATCAACATTTTAAACTGAACTAAAAATAAAAGTATAAATGAGTTGGATTTAGGGTTAGATCAGTAAGACATGATTCTTACTGAACAGAAGTTTTTAGTATCTGTCTGCATTTTGGGTAGATTTTCAACATCTTGATGTAACTAAGACACACTTCCACAAGAGCCACTAGGATAACCCCACTGAAGCGCTTATGGAGTAAAGTGATGTAAGCGACCAGCAAGCAGTCCACTGCTCCTATAGATTGGGTCCTCCCTTCCTTCTTTCCTTCCTTCCTTTCTTCCTGCCTCCCCTGAGAAGCTACATTTTTGTAATCTCTGGAGAAGAGCACGAGATACCAACCCCCTAAAGTGTGGGACGGTGGAGGAACAATGGTGGGAATGGGAAGAAGTCTCCACCTAAATGCAGCAGCCGGGATTGAGGCTGGTTTATCTTTGTTCTTTTGTGATGAGGAACTAAATTTGGGAGGGGAGAAAAAAAAATTTGTCCATGAAATATTCCACCTGCAGGTAATTTTTCAGGGAATCCCCTGAGTTATGAAAAGTTCGAGTTAAAAAAAAAAAGAAAAAAGAAAATCAGCCTATTATAATTTTTTTTTTATGACTGAACTACTATAAATCCACAAGCAACGGTTCAGACACGGTGCTTCTGAAGTGTTTCACCCCTCCCCGCCAGGCGCAAGCTGCATCAAGGAGAGGGTGGACTCCCCCACCTCTGCTCAGGCATCAGGAGACAGATAGGGCCGTTACTGCTGAGCGCCAGCGGCAGCTGGAACAGGCATCCCAAGGGGGTTGGCAGCAGCAATCACTGGTGAGCCTGCCAGAGGTCCAAGGGGTGAAGGGGTTGGCACTGAAGAAATCCCTGAAAGAAAAGAGCTGTCAGTGAGCCAAAGACACCAACCATGGCAATCTTACCAGTTTCTCATAGCACTCACTGCAAAAGGAACACAATAATTCTTTACTGAAGACTTCCTCTTAGCTGGATTTTTACATATACTTCAAGTCTGACCCTCACAAATTCAAGTTAAAGTGGCAAGTCCTAATCAATTTAAGAGACAGGTAAAGAAATCTAGGCTTGGACAATTTAAGGAGTTTGTCCAAAGTACACGATTAAGCAAGTGGCAACCATGGTTGGATTCTAACCCAGGCCTGTCTAGGGCAGAGATGTCCACCCTGGTGACCAGTAGCCAACCACATGTGGCTGCTGAGCACTTGAAATATGGCTAGTGCAACTGAGGAACTACATTTTAAATTTTATTCAATTGTAATTAAATAGCCTCACGTGGCTAGTCACTACCATACTGAACAGCACATGACTGCAGTCAAAGCTCATGTGCTCTTACACCATGCTGTCTTGATAGCTGGCAGCTTTCAAAATTACTGAAAGTCAATTTGAATGGGGAAAGAGCATTTTCTAAGATAAAATTGTGTTTTGGAATTTATTTCCATTTGATTTCTTCCACCTCTCTAATCATGTTTTTGTGTGTGTGTGTGTGTGTGTGTGTGTGTGTACACACAGGTAATACATTCACATGGTTCAAAATACAAAAGGTTCAAAAAAGTATACAAAGGCCAGGTGCAGTGTCTCACGCCTGTAATGCCAGCACTTTGGGAGGCCAAGTTGGGCGGATCACCTGAGGTCAGGAGTTCAAGACCAGCCTGGCCAACATGGTGAAACCCCATCTCTACTAAAAATACAAAAATTAGCTGGGCGTCATGGCGGGCGCCTGTAGTCCCAGCTACCTGGGAGGTTGAGGTGGGAGAATCGCTTGAACCCGGGAGGCGGAGGCTGCAGCAGCTGAGATTGTGCCACTGCACTCCAGCCTTGGCCACAGAGCAAGACCTTGTCTCCAAAAAAAAAAAAAAAAAAAAAAAAAAAAAAAAAAAAAAAAAAAATATATATATATATATATATATATATATGAGAACATTATTATACATTCTTCTCCACTCCTCTTAGACATGGCTCTGCATCTCACTTTTTCTTTTGAGACAGAGTCTCACTCTCACCCAGGCTGGAGGGCAACGGTGCGATCTCGGCTCACTGCAACCTCTGCCTCCCAAGTTCAAGCGATTATCTTGCCTTAGCCTCCAAGTAGCTGGGATTAAAGGCGCCGCCGCCACGCCCAGCTAATTTTTTGTATTTCCAGTAGAGACAGGGTTTCGCCATGCTGGCCAGGCTGGTCTCGAACTCCTGACCTCAAGTGACCCACCCGCCTCAGCCTCCCAAAGTGCTGGGATTACAGGCATGAGCCACTGCACCTGGCCCTGCATCTTGCGTTTTAAATTTCACATTATTATATTGGAGTTGGAGATCTAACAGAACATGAAACTCTTATTCTACTGGCTGCACCACATTCCATTAAATGGATATACCATAACTGATTTAACCAGTTTCCTACTGATAGCTATTCTCAATGTTTTGTTATTACAAATAAGGCTACAAGTAAGTTTGGATATACATTACTCTGTACAGAGGTAGGATACTCAAGGGGTAAATTCTAGAAGGCAGTTAGTTCTTTTCTTAAAAAAGAGGAGGGCAACAGCAATTATTTGAGGATATGTAAGTAAATGCCTTCACTACCAGATATGCACCCACTTGGATGTTGCCTATATGTATAATTCTTATGCTATGTGCCTGTAGTTCCTTTGGAATAACTGGGTACTCTATAAAAATTCACTGTGCGTCACAATGATCCAATAATGGAAAACCATTTTACTTATGTTTTTACAACTGATAGGCACTCTATAGTTGCTCTGGCACATGTCACGGAACTGTCCTTGTACACATACACACCTATGTATAAACCCCACCTCTATACCCCATTTCTTAACATTGTTTCTAAGGGCCATGTAACTACTGTCATTTCAAACTATAAGATGAAATGGTGTATTTTTCCTTTTCATGGCTTGGCACTTTCAAGCCCCTATGCCAAAAATTTTCAGCCAGGAATGCTGAGATTCTAGCCTAGAAGGGGATACCCTACTCAAGACAGTATCACTAAAGTATACCAAATGTCAAGCATGCTGAAACCTGGTTAAAAAAAAGTCACAAGGCCACCAGTACGGAGAAGAGAAGGTATACAAGAAATCAGACCACAAAGCTAAGAACAGTAATTGACTTCCACATTTTTTTAAAGAAAATTTACCAATGAACTGACCTGACATCATATTGGCGCTGCTGACGGGCGTACTGCCCCCTGGCATGCTAGATGAACCCATTCGAGCCTGGTCCTTCACAACAGTGTCTAGAAAAGAGACAAAAAGGCTAGGTTCTGTTTTGCTTGAAAGATTAAACTAATGGTCTGGAAGCCTGAAAGCAGCCAGCTTCATTCTTTGCAATTTATATATACTCTACATTATTCCCCAAAGAACTTAAGGTGGCAATTGCCTTCACCATGAATTAGACAAGTGGTAAAAAGCAGAAATAGCTTTCCTATCAAACTGTGGTAAAAGCTAACCTTTCAATCAAATGGTAGAAAGATGAGGTAATTATTTATAGCAGAGCGAATTTAATGAAGCCCTGGTCCTGTTGAGGTTTAATGGAGACAAGACACTGTAACTCGGCAAAGACGGTAATATATTACCAGTGTGTCCACAGCCCAGTACCAAGTAGGCCAAAGCTATAGGTCCATGTAGCTTAGGGCTATGACCACATTCTCTATCCCAATCAGCCTATCTATCTGCTTCAGGTATTGGGCAAAAGTATAAATGATTCAGTACAAAACCATCACACCGAAGGAAAAATGTCATGTTGCAGCTAACATCACAGTGCAGATGGGGTGGGTCTCAGTGGTATTTTCACTTAGGATGGCACAGGTGGCTATACTCACAAATCTAAGTCAAGGTGTTCATACAATTTTAAGATTTGTAAGCCTCATTAGCTCTTTCCAACGAATGATTACTAGGGACAGGAAAGATACAGGGCTGTGTATTCTAATTCAACCATTCCAGACTGAGGCACTGAGAAGTGTCATCCTCACAGTATGAAAAGAGTTTATTTAGGAATGCTCTTGTGTCATGTATTCTGTTACAGAAGAATTCTTCCAGTAATTCTGCAATGTAGTTGCCATCACTATCCCCACTGGAAGAATCTGAGGCTCAGTGTGGGTGAATTAACTTTGCAGCAAGCTGACAGGAGCTGGGATTACGACTCTGTTCTATAGGACTCTGCGCCTGCACAAACTCTGTGGGCTAGATATCTGGACTCACAGAAATAGGGGTGCTCCATTGCCTCTCTTGCAGTAAGCCGTGACTGGTGGTCATATCGCAGCAGTTTGTCCAGGAAATCCAAGGCCTCAGGGCTGACAAGGTGCTGATTTTCACTGTGGACAAAGCGTTCCCATCGCTTTCGAGAGTGTCTGCAGGACCAAAAGAGGGCATGAGAAATGGGCCACGTGGGCACAGAAGCCCAACATTTCATTCCTACATTTTTCTTAGTGGCTAACAGCCCAGACAAAAGCAAAGAGGGATCCAAACTCAAGAGGGTAGTCTTGCACCGCTCTGCCACTGAGTGGGACAACAAAGCTAACTGGAGACTGGAAACAACATAGCTAGAGTGAAAAAAGACATCTGAGTCCTCTCAATTTTAAGAAACATAATTCAGGTTACTTGACAGGACGTGACCGCTTCTGTGTAGCAAGGAGGGTCAGGTGGCTGAGCTCACCAGGCCTATTTCCCATCCCCACACATATTCCTGGCATCTCTGCCAATTGGCCAGCAAAAGCCTTTGCATCAGGAAAGTCCATCTCCTCCTGTTGAGTGGTTAAGTGTATAAGTACTATATCTAGTCACTACTGTTAAGAGTCGGTTGTCTGCATATAGCCTTTTTTTTTTTTTTTTTGGAGACAGGGTCTCACTCTGTTGCCCAGACTGGAGCGCAGCCACATGTTCATTGCTCTCTGTAGCATTCCCTCCTGGGCTCAAGGGAAGCTCCTGCCTCAGCTTCCTAGTAGTCTGGACTACTGCCACACATCACCATGCATGGAGTCGAGGGTCTCATTATGTTGTCCAGGCTGGTCTCCAACTCCTGGGCTCAAGTGATCCTCCTAAAGTTCTGGGATTACAGATATGAGCCACCGTGCCCAGCCTGCACATCAGTCTTAAAGCATGCATTTTCTACTTCAATTTCTTTCTCTTGGAGAGAGGTTTTTCACTTAAAGAAGCAAGGTAAATTTTGATTTTTGCCTCAACTGTAACCCTTCTACTAGAATCTACATTCATTTTGTAGGAATCCTCTAGCTATAACCCCTCCATCAGACTCCTGTAAGTTAATTTGAATAAAGGGCCATTCAATCCAATGCCTTTATCAGAGGCCTGCTCAATGCAGCATCCTGTGGCACTGGACCACTGACATCCTGACAGTGCTGGCAAAGAAAACATAACTATTTTGAAGATCCTAAGTGCCAGTTCACTCTCAAAGTGCTTAAGCCACAGATGCACATATTTTGTTTCATGACTTACCTGCCCAAGATATCATTGAAACGTGGATCTAATTCAATGTTGTATTTGTCAATATAGTCATATAAATCTTCTGTCCCCAGAACCTTGGCTATCCTCACCAACTAGTATTAAAGAAAGACAAAAACCCATATCACAAGCATATTATATTAACAAATCAACAATTAACAATGATTGAATTTACATAAACGGGTCATCATGTCTACAGGTATGAATGCTACCTCCTAACAGTTTAGACTTCAACTCAATGTGATAGTGTTAGAAAAAGCAAACTACTTTATAAACTGGTTTCTTCCTCTTGAAATGTCACCCTGGTGAACCCTTATTTTTCTCCCCTCAAAACCCAATTGAAGATGTCACTTCTTTTGGGAAGCTCCCATTGCACACTCAAACTACTCACCACTACTGCCTTTTGTGCCTTGTCCACATTTCTACTCTGAAGTTATGACTGTAACCTATTTTGTTGTATGTTTGACTCCCTTACAAGATCAGCTATGAACTATCTGAGGGGAAGAAAACTATTCTTTCTTTTTTCTGTATTCCTCAGTACTGCATGCACTTGATACAGAGTTATTGACTTTAATGGAATTCAGGTTGTATTCTTTGACTCATTAAAATTGGACATGGTGCTCAAAGGGAACAAGACAATGGTACCTTCCACAAGGTCCTAGAATCATTCCAGGTTCTTGTGAATGAAAGAGCCCTTTGATCTTCAAGGGGGAAGTGGAGTTAGTTTAAGAAACATCTGTAACTCAACCCATATAAAGAGCCAAAAGGATCACAGAAATACCACATATGGGCTCACATATTGGAGAAAACACCATATTGGAGATAAGGGTTTATTAGGAGAATTCTAAGGTAATGTCCTATTTTAAAAATCTGGATGACAATTTATATGTATTCTTCACAATAAAATAAGCAATGCAAATGACAAAGACTAGGGGGGAATGTCTGATTTCAAAAGGCTAAGCTGGTAGCTCCCGAAACATCAATCTAAGGATCAATATCGGGGTGGCTGAATAAACAGTGAACTGAAAGTTACAGGCAGTGCTGGCTATCATTGCATTAGGCCAGTACATTTTTCAATGGGTATAACATATATTACCTGATCATAATTGTCATGTCCATGGAAAAATGGCTCCTTCCGAAAGATCATACTTGCCAGCATACAACCCAAACTCCACATATCCAAACTATAATCGTACATCTGCATAAAAGTAAACTCACTGTTATTATCTGTGAATCCTCAGGCTTGTCACTTCAAAATAAAAAATTAATTTTTAAAATTAAAAAAAAATCACTCCACTGACTCAAAATCAAAACACTAATAACATCTTCATATATTTCTTTTTAGTCTTTCTTTTTTTTTTTTTTGGAGACAGAGTCTCACTCTGCTGCCCATGCTGGAGTGCAGTGGCGCAATCTTGGCTCACCACAACCTCCGCCTCCCGGGTTCAAGCAATTCTCCTGCCTCAGCCTCCTGACTAGCTGGGACTACAGGCGCGTGCCACCATGCCTGGCTAATTTTGTATTTTTAGTAGAGACGGGGTTTCACTACGTTGGCCAGTGGTCTCAAACTCCTGACCTCATGATCTGCTCGCCTCAGGTTCCCAAAGTGCTAGGATTACAGGCATGACCCACCGTGCCTGGCTAGTTTTTTCTTTTTTTTTTTTTTTTAGTTTTTTTTTTAGTTTTTTCTTTTATGCATCTTTCACTCGGTTTTAAAACAATTTTTACTTTTTTTTTTTTTTTTTGAGACAGAGTCTTGCTCTGTCGCCCAGGCTGCAGGGGTGTGATCTTGGCTCATTGCAACTCAGCTTCCCAGGTTCAAGCAATTCTCTGCCTCAGCCTCCTGAGTAGCTGGGATTACAAGCGCCCACCACCGCGCCTGGCTAATTTTTTTGTATTTTTAGTAGAGACAGGGTTTCACCATCTTGGCCAGGCTGGTCTTGAGCTCCTGACCTTGTGATCCACTTGCCTTGGCCTTTCCAAGTGCTGGGATTATAGGCGTGAGCCACTGTGCCTGGCTCTTTTTTTTTTTTTTTTAAAGACACAGGGTCTTGCTCTGTTGCCCAGGCTGGAGTGTAGTGGCGTGATCATAGCTCACTGCAGCCTCCAACTCCTGGGCTTAGGCCTCCTGAGTAGGTAGGATTACAGGCATACACCACTATGCTCAGCTAATATACATACTATTTTGAATTGTTTTCTTCACTTACATGAAAAAAAAAAAAAAAAAACCTCCAAATTGTTAGCCCATGGAGACCATCTAATGTGTATCATTAGTATTTTATTACATAAATGTTTCAGAATTCAATCTTTAATTTTCCTATAATAGGACAGTGTTCTGTTTTTCACAATTATTAGTAATACTGTAAAAACTATTTTTATGCATAAAATGCTTTTTGAACTCAGGGCTATAGCCTTAAGACCCCAAGAAAGAAATTCCTACAAGAACAAAAAGTCTGAAACTTTTAAAATCAACTGATAATAACCTGGAAAGACTGGGCATAAAAGATACTCCCAAGAAAACTTCAGATTTTTAAACACTTGGCAAATCTATTATTAATTTGGTTCCTTTCTCCTTTTTCTGTGAGGAGAAAGAAGGCTTTTTGGGGGAGCTGGGGAGAAGACCTTTTTATTTAGTATACAATTCAGAAGAACAAGAAAACATTCTTGAATTTACTCTGAAGATTGGTTAAACTTAGTTACAGGATGGGCATGGTGGCTCATGCCTGTAATCTCAGCACTTTGGGGAGCCAAGGTGTGAGGATGGGTTGTGCCCAGGAGTTTGAGATCAGCCTGGGCAACATAGTGAGACTTTCTCTCTACACACAAAAAAATTAAAAATTAGCTGGGTGTGGTAGTGCACGCCTGTAGTCCCAGCTACTCAGGAGGCTAAGCTGGAAGGATCACTTGAGCCCAGAAGTTCGGGGCTGCAGTCAGCTATGATCATGGCATTGCACTCCAGCCTGGGCAACAGAGCAAAACCCTGCCTCAGAAAACAAACAAAAGGCCGGGCGTGGTGGCTCACGAGGGCAGGAGATCGAGACCATCCTGGCTAACACAGTGAAACCCAGTCTCTACTAAAAATACAAGAAAAATTAGCTGGGGTGGTGGTGGGTGCCTGTAGTCCCAGCTACTTGGGAGGCTGAGGCAGGAGAAAGGTGTGAACCTGGGAGGCGGAGCTTGCAGTGAGCCGAGATCATGCCACTGCACTGCAGCCTGGGCGACAGAGTGAGACTCCGTCTCAAAACAAAAACAAAAACAAAAACAAAACAGCTTACAATTCAAAACAGTTCTGGAACTGCTGATTATAGAACATATCTTTGGCTACTTTCCCTCAAGTCAGGATCAAATGCAAACCTATTCATATTCTACCGACATTATGACAATAAAAGTAATGTAAGTCATGGTACATGAATTAAGGTGATTTATATTTTACATTTCATATAAAAAGGACAGCTGTGAATGTGCATTAAGTGGCCTACCTAAATGCACAAAATGATACTTTTTTTTTTTTGGTAAATTATGTGCGAAATAAACACAGGATCAAAACTGTGCCTGCCCTTCTGTTCTTACCTGATAGTCTACAAGTAGCTCAGGACCTTTGAAGTATCGGGAAGCAACTCGGACATTATATTCTTGGCCAGGATGATAAAACTCAGCCAAACCCCAGTCTATTAGTCGTAGCTGAAAAAGAATAAACCATGAGCAATCTTATCTTTCTCTAAGCTACCCACACTGTGCCATTAGCATACTCTTGATAAAATATACCAGACACGTCACTCTTTACTGAAACCCCTCCACTGACTACTTATAGCCTTTAGAATGAAAATAAAACTTCTTAGCTTGACAAACCTCTTTCTCCATGATTTTGTTCCTGGAAGACACAATCTCACCTGTGCTTTTACAAATTTCTTAAACTGCTCAATGACTAAAATGTCCCTACTACCCAGCCTATAATCCTATTGGTAAGCATTTCCTTAACTTTTGGAATATTTAAGTCAGCTTCTCAATGAAGTCTGATCATTGCCTTCAGCCCCCTGAATTTTAGATATATTTCTTTAACAGAACCTAAACTCTTTATGTTTTCTACCTTTCTTTTTCAATATGGACGACAAGCTCCTTAGGGGTAGGGACTGTTTTATTCACCTTTGTAATTTTCAGAATTCAACATAATGCCTGGTATACAGGAGAAAAATGAATAAATATTTGCTGGATAGATGAAATAACAGAAAAGTCATACAATACAGCTTTTACCAAAATGCATCCTAAACATGGAAAAAGGGGTAAGAGGCAAGCTTATCTGCCCACTGTGCATAGCATGACCATGATCTGAAGTGCCAGCAGTAGGCCCTGAGGAAAAACATCGGACTGCTCTGGCACTAAGTTTACTGCCTGTATCTCAAAACTAAACCTTTGATTACTCCCTGCAAAAGCACCTCCACTCAGTCTCCCCCTGTTCGGTTAAAGGTGATACTCATCCTGTCATACAAGCCAAAACTTAAGATTCACCCTGGATTCTTGATTCCCTCAGACCTCACATTTAATCTGTCAAAAAATTCTGAAGGTTCTATCATATTGTGACCATTATCATCACCTCCACTGCCACTGCCCCGATCCAAGCCACCACCACCTCTTGTTTGATATATTGCCATAGCCCCTTCTCCTAACTGGTCTCACTGCTTTCACTCTTGCCCTCTAGTCTAAACAGTTTAATAAATACTAAATAGTTTAATAGTTATTTTAAAAATAATTAAATATTTAAAAATAAATATAAACAGCTTTTTAAAAGGATTGTTCAGGTTGCTATGGAGAGATTATAGATTCACAGGAAATTGCCAAAGTAGTAGAGATTCTCTGCACCCTTTACCCAGTTTCCCCTAATAGTAACATCTTACATAACTACAGTACAATATCAAAATCAAGAAACTGACACTGGCACAATTCAGAAAGATCTTATTCAGGTTTCACCAGTTTTACATGCACGCATGTGTTTGTGTGTGTGTTTCTATGCAATTTCATCACATATGTAAGTTGATATAATCTCCTCAACAAGATATAGAACTGTTCCATCACCACACACATGTCCTGTGTGTTAGCCCAACCCCTGGCAACCCCTCTGCTCTTTATCTCTATCATTTTGAGAATGCTACAAAAATGGAGTCATTGGCATATAACTTTTTTTGAGACTGCCTTTTTTCACTAAGCATGAGATCCATCCAAGTTGTTGCATGTGTCATACTTCTTTCCTTTTTATTGCTGAGAAATACTACTTCATAATAATATTATATGGTATGGATATGCCAGTTTGTTTAACCATTCCCTCATTGAAGGGCACTTTTCCCCATTTTTTTTTTTTTTTTTTTTTGAGACGCAGTCTCGCTCTGTCACCCAGGCTGGAGCACAGTGGCACGATCTCGGCTCACTGCAACCTCCGCCTCCGGGGTTCAAGCAATTCTCCTGCCTCAGCCTCCTGAGTAGCTGGGATTACAGGTGCATGCCACCAGGCCCGGCTAATTTTTGTATTTTTTTAGTAGAGACAGGGTTTCACCATGTTGGCCAGGCTGGTCTTGAACTCCTGAACTCGTCATCTGCCTGCCTTGGCCTCCCAAAATGATTACAGGTGTGAGCCACTGCACCCAGCTTTTCCCCCCAATTTTAAGCTATTACAAATATAGTTGCATTCATATATAGGCTTTTGTGTGGACCTAAGATTTTGTTGCTCTGAGATAAATGCCACTGCAGGATTGTATGGTAAGCATATGTTTAGCTTTTCAAGAAACCAACCAACTATAAAACAATAGTTAAGCATTTTCCAAAATGCCAAACTTTGCATTCCTACCAGCAATGTATGAGAGATCAAGTTTCTTCACATTTTTGCCAGCACTTGGTACCATCACTATTTTTTATTTTAGCTGTTCTAATAAATGTGTAGTTAACTTTTAAATTTCAAGTGAGAACATGCTAAAGCTTAGAATATGCAAAAGCTCTCTATCTTCAGAGAAAAGGCCTAACAATGACCAATAAGGTTTTACATGATTTGGTTTTACCTCTTTGATTTCATTTCCTCCTTCTTTCCCCGCATTCATTCTGTCCCAGCTTTATCCTTGCTGCTGCTCTTCCAACATGCCAAACATATCCTTACCTGAAGGGCTTTTGTACTTGCTATTTACTCTGCCTTGGGACATGTTTCTTCATAAGACTGCATGGCTGGGTCCCTCCCAGTGCTCTCTAAAATGTCACCTTTCCAATGAAACCTTCCCTTATAACTGGTTTAAAACTGCAAATACCCTCTTGCCATTCCCTATTCGTTTTTTCTTCTACATCAAAATAACTTTCTATCCCACCAGCCTCCCTAAATGTAGCTCCTAAAAGACAAGCATTTATTGTATGTTGAGTTCACTTACATATCCCCAGCCCTAGGGTGGTGCCTCTGACATGGTGTGTGTCTAAAAGTAATTCAGTTGCATAAATAAATCACCTGCCTCCCCAGAGACCACAACAGGCAAGTCATCACAGCTTGTCACCTTAAAAAACTGAAATGCTAAAGCATGTGGCCATTACAGCTCTCATGTAAAAGCATTTGCAGACAACAGGGCCCTTATGACATCCAATAAACAGAAACAGCATTTTCTGTATATCTCGTCCACTTAACTGTGCACATTTAATTCTCACGAATACCTAGTCGCCTGCAGGGCTATTATTACCCACACTGTACACGTAAGAAAAAGAAGGCAAATGGAGAGAAAGTAGTTTCTCAGGAAACCAGTTACTCAATAAATAAGGCGAGAAGCCACGTTTCCGGGCTTAGAAGATGAACATTTTGCCCACTTTACTCATGTTTCCTTCTTGGGAATATTCTTAGGAATATAAATAATGGTTCAAACATGTTGACTTGTAAATTCGTACATTCATTCACCAAATATTTCTCAACTGCCGAATAGGTACTAGGGCCTGTGACAACACAAGGGATAAAGTGTTGAAGATGGGCAATTAGCTACATCATGTAGATAAATAACACTTGTCAGCCTATCACTTTACCTTTCTGTGCTCATGATCAATCATGACATTATGGGGCTTGACATCTCTGTGCATAATTCCCATGCTGTGACAATAATCCAGGGCCTGTGGGATGAACGGGTCAGAAAGGAGTTAGCCTGAATAATACGTAAGAGTCCTTTACTTTTCCCTCCATGTAAATTTTCCTTTTAGCCTCACAATACCCCTGGGATTCAAGCTGAGGACACAGTCACTTCCACAGCAATGCTTCAGAGACTTGTTCATGATCTCACAGTCAAGCAAACTCAGCTCTCTGAGCTTAGAGATCTTTTTCTGACACAGTTGTTTCAACATGTTTTCTGTCCTAAAAGACCCAAAGTATACCCAAATTGCACCACTTCAAATTTTTCTGTCTTGTCCAGATCCTAGATTATTTCCACAGACCCCTCAAAGAAAGAAAACAGATCTTTACTACAAACCTCTTATTCTAAGAACAGTAATTCTTTAGCCATTAAGAGTCTGTAACAGAGGTTGGCAGACCACAGGCCAAATTTGGCCTGATGTCTGCTTTTGTAAATAATGTTTTATTGCAACATAGCCATGCCTATTTGTTTGCATATTGTTTATGGTTGCTCTTGTGCAACAACAGCAGACTTGAATAGTGTGACAAACACTACATGGCCCACAAAGCCTAAAATATTTACTATTTGGCCCTTTAAAGAAGTTTGCCAATGCCTGATTTAGGTCATCAAATCCAATCTGAAATGTTTCCAACCTCAAACTAAAGGGAACTGAGTAGTATAATCTTTGGGGTTTGTTAATCCCAGCCTTTCAGTCAGCCGACGTTGTTGGCCAAATTCTTGTCCTTCCTGAAGGGCAACTTGGGTTCCTACAGTTCCCAGGGCTGGGCAATCATATCTGTAACTTTCTAAAGCCTTGCTTGCCACAAACTGCATGAGCCAATGGAAAGATCAAGTATCTCTGCTGGCACAATCTCCTCAGGGGATTTCTAAGGCTCCAACAGCAGGCTTTATGTCAACTCTTGTTTAGTAAGAAAGCTTAGCCAACTTTTAGCAATTCTCTCTTCTAGGAAGCTGATCTTGTGGCTACTGGGAACAAGATATTTGGTGACCCCACTTTAGAAATGTAAGTAAATTTTCAATTAGCATCTATAAGCAGAAATTTACACAATCCTTAGGACAATTACCCTTTGAGAACTGAGTTAAAGTTTACTGTTTTATTTGCTGACTCTTAAGTGAGATAAAGTATACCAGAAGCTAGCACGTCAGGTGTTTTCACGAGTTTTGAAAATTTAATATTAACTTACATAGGGGCCACAGAAATTACAAATATTTGTTAAGGGGTCAGTCCCAGCTATCTTACAAATACCCTTTTTCAAATTGTTCTAAATTATACTCCCACTAGACCCCATTCCATAACCCTTAGCACAAGGGTTCTGATACTATTATTATTAATTTTTATTTATTTATGTATTTAGAGACAGGGTCTTACTCTGTGCTACTGCACTCCAGCCTGTGCAACAATCATAGCTCACTGCTGCCTCAAATTCCTGAGATCCTCCTGTCACAGCCTCCCAAGTAGCTGGAATTACAAGCATAAGCCACCATACCCAGCTAATTTTTAAATTTTTTGTAGAGACAGGGTCTCACTATGTTGCTCAGGCTGGTCTTGATCTCCTGGCCTCAAGCAATCCTCCTGCCTTGGCCTCCCAAGTAGCTGGGACTTACAGGTGCACACCACCATGCCCAGGTAATTAAACAATTTTTTTTTGTAGAGATGGGGATCTCACTATGTCACCCAGGCTGGTCTTTTGATCTCCTGGCCTCAAGCAATCCTCCTGCCTCAGCCTTCCAAAGTGCTGGGATTACAGGTATGATACTATTAACTTATTAAAAACTTATATAGAGGTCCCTTCTTTCAACATACTTTACAAAGTTAATCTGCTGGCTTTTCTACCATCAATTGACTATTTAACAAAAAGAAGACCAATTTAAAAAATATTTAGTATTCAAGGTTCACTTACCTTCAGAATCTCATACATGTAAAATCGAATATCATAGTCTGTTAACGTCTGGTACAATTGCTGTTAAAGACAAATGTTTGAGCCATGAAATAATGCTGACAGAAAGGCATTTTTCACCCTCACTCACAGTAATTCAAACCAAGACTTGGCTCATTTACCGTTGTTCCAAGATCTGTCCATTCACTGCCCTCTATTTCTCCAACATTACATTAACTTTAAAGAGATACTTTGGGTCTTCAACTCTTAAAAATGAAGAATTACTTAAACATATATTGCGGAAGCTATAATCCACTGTCAGAAACATACTGATCTAGATACGTTAATATGCACTGACACCCACCTATAATTTAGTTTGCTTTTCATGTATCTTCAGACCTTCTCAAAAGAGGCATTTTGGCAAATATACTGCCTCCTTAGTAGGGAACTAACTCATCTTTGCCTTACATAGTTGGCCCTGCAGATCACCAGTGGGTATGCAGATGGCATGATACCAAACCTGTTGAGTCAATTTAACAAAACTATTCTTGTTCCAATTGGAAAGTAAACTCTGAACAACTGTTATGTATCCTTTCCAGTTTCCAAAGAGTTGCAGAATGTTTTTTACATGGACATATCTTTTTTTTTTTTTTTTTTTTTTGAGACAGGGTCCTCACTCTGCTGCCCAGGCTGGAGTGCCGTGCTGCAATCATAACTCACTGCAACCTCAAACTCCTGGGCTCAAGCGATCCTCCTACCTCAGCTTCCCCAGTAGCTAGGACTACAGGCGAAAGCCACCATGCCCAGCCACAGGTACGTCTCTTTAATGGTTAGCAACGTCTTCTGACAAAGTTTTTCTTGAAATTATCATTCTGACTCTAAAGCAGTTCCTCTTCCTTTCTCCCTATCTCTGCAACAGAATTCACTAATTTATTAATATATAACATTCTGGATACTGGACTGGTGGAAAGGCAAATCGAAGATTTTTACTTTTACTCCAAAAGAGTAGCTATATTCTTCTGTAAAATTGGAACTGTGTGAAATAAGTAGGCCACTGGATAGACTGGAATTCTGAGATATCTCTTATAGAGGTTTGTGTTATGGCAGAATTTGACATTATCCTTCCTCGATCCCTGCCTTTTAAGATCTATAGCCCACAGTTTATGAGGAATCCTAAGAAATAAGCAGTCCCTACTTTTATACATACAATATATTTCTTCCTGAACACTATTGTTTAAAGCGAATTGCCATATGGCCAGATCCTAAGTGAACGTGTGTTACTGCCTTCATTAGGTTGGACATCAGCAGAAACTGTCAACTAAGTAGTGAGAAGTCAATGTGTTGGTCATTAAAAAGAACATTAAACAAATGGGCAAAATATCAAGATGCAGAAAGTGGGCACTGCTTATATAGGAGTTCTTCTATCTTAAAATTTGCACTGTAAGGATGAAAAGCTTTTTAAAAACAAATGCGAAGCAAGCTCTTCTAACAGCATCATCCCCAAAGGCTATGTGGTCTAAAAACCCACTAGCCCGAAACAGTTGGTTATATATTATACCTTGAAGTCTGTGTTGTTTACGTGTTCAAAAACCAAGGCGGGGGTTCGTGACTAGGGGAAAAGAACAAAAACAAAAACACACATTAGCAATAGCCCTGACAGCTTTAATGGGGACAATGTTTGCGGATGCTGCGTGGTGAAATTTGGCAGTCCTCGCCTCAGTAGTAAGAAACCCTCTATTGCTACAAGCCCTCCCCGCTCTGATCATCACCGCACTTAGGTCATTTTTGGGATGGATTTCAAACAGAAGACATGGAGCTGAAGTCTCACCAGGCTCTAGGCAGCCCGACAATGCGCCCATCGCCCATCGGCATCGGACCTGAGTTTGCAAAATGGATTAACACATTTCAGTTTCCAGTGCTATCAGTCTCTTAGCCTAGAAGAATAAGAAATAGTCTGTGGGTGGAGGTCTCTTTGAAAGAAAGACCCAAGCTAGTTAAATGGTATATCTGATTAAGCACTTTCAAAGCAGGACTTAATGATGAGGGTTGGGGGAGGGAACAAAAAGAGGCCAGTTGTGCTCCAGGTCAAACACCATCTCAGCTCTGGCGGGCCTTGCTAACACCTACTATACTCACCACAGGGTCTTTTACAATGTCTGCCAGTGTGATGATGTTGGGACCTCCTCTCAAATTCTCCAAAATCTTTATTTCACGCTTAATTTTCTTCTTTTTTACTGGCTGAAAGGGGAAAAGTACATCAGCAAAAAAAAAAAAAAAAAATTTTTTCAGAGTATTTCAACACGTAGTGTAATACATAAATGATAAATGGCTTACTTATGAGCACACCTTGAAGGAAGAAAATGTGTCACATTCGTCTCTGAATCCTTCTCCTAGCACTGTGCCAGGTATTCTGCAGGTACTTACAAATGTTGAATTGAAAGAAAAAAAGATTTCTATTCCAAAGACCAGACACTTCTGCAGAATTAGCATTTCAATCATCAGTCTTGATGTTAATGTTTTAAAACATGTTAAACATGTTAATGTCTTAAAACCTTACAAAGTAGCAATTTAAATCGTTAGTAATACTAAAGTATATCAAACTTTTTATCAATTAGGATGAAACATGGGCCCTTTCCATTTCTTCCTCTAATTAGGGCCAACAACAAGGATGGCCAAAACATCTTTGTGTAGCACAACCCTGAGGGTAAAGGGTGAGTCTTGGAGTCACAATGCCCAATGTGAAACCTACCTTTACTACCTGCTGGCTGTTAATGGCAAACTACATAACCTCTCTAAGCCTTTCATTAAGTGTAAAATGAGTAACAAGAGTACCCATCTCATAAGATTGTTGCAAGAATCAAATGAGGTATTCGAAAGATTTCGGAATATGGCTGAAACATAACATAATAATAACTGTCTAGCCTGATCACCAATGCTCTTTTTTTTTTTTTTTTTTTTTTGAGACAGAGTCTTGCTCTGTCACCCAGGCTGGAGTGCAGTGGTGCAATCTTGGCTCACTGCAACCTCCGCCTCCTGGGTTCACGCCATTCTCTTGCCTCAGCCTCCCGAGTAGCTGGGACTACAGGCACCCGCCACCAGGCCAGGCTAATTTTTGTATTTTTAGTAGAGACGGGGTTTCACCGTGTTAGCCAGGATGGTCTCGATCTCCTGACCTCGTGATCTGCCTGCCTCGGCCTCCCAAAGTGCCAATACTCTTATAAATGAACCCCTCCATTCTAAAGAGTATTCTGCAGAGCATATCTTAAACATTCCTTTGTCCTTACCCATTCTTTCCACATCTGTTCTAGTATGGAATCCTTTTCATTTTTTTCTGAGGAGGGCCTTGGTCCCACTGCACCTCCTTTATAAAGCCTTTTTTTTTTTTTGAGACAGAGTCTTGCTCTGTCGCCCAGGCTGGAGTGTAGTAGCATGATCTCAGCTCACTGCAACTTCCGCCTCCCGGGTTCAAGCAATTCTCCTGCCTCAGCCTCCCGAGTAGCTGGGATTACAGGCGCCAGCCACCATGCCCAGCTAATTTTTGTATTTTTAGTAGAGACAGGGTTTCATCATGTTGGTCAGGATCGTCTCGAACTCCTGACCTCATGATCCGCCTGCCTTGGCCTTCCAAAGTGCTGGGATTATAGGCATGAGCCACTGTGCCTGGGCTTATATTATAAAGCCTTCTCCTGAATAGTCTAAAACAGTGCTGGCCCAAAGGAAATATAATACAAACCACATGTGTAATTTTAAATGTGTTAGTAGCCACATCAAGAAAATTTTAAAAAGGACAAAATTAATGTACTTTATTAATCTAAAATCTTAACATATAAATCAATATAAAAATTATTAATCTATTTTACCTTTTTTTGTATTAAACCCTTGAAATCTAATGTATTTTACTCTTACAGCATATCTCAATTCAGCCCAGCCATATTTCAAGTGCTTAACAGCCTCATGTGGCCTGCGTGCCTGCTGTACTGGACTGTGCAGGTCTTTTCCTAGGGTGTTGGTCACCTCAGACTAGATGCACTGCATATAACTCTTAGAAGTTAAGTACATCTCATCTCTTCATTAACAAGATTGGTGGTTACTAAAGTTTGATGACCAACAATCACCTGGATTTTTTT
The DNA here is from genome assembly GCF_000001405.40 of Homo sapiens. Taxonomy (NCBI): domain Eukaryota; kingdom Metazoa; phylum Chordata; class Mammalia; order Primates; family Hominidae; genus Homo; species Homo sapiens. The sequence continues at coordinate 501,824 of NC_000020.11, forward strand.
AATATACAGACTCACAGAACCCACCAAGATTCACTAAATCAAAATCTTGAGAGGGAAACGGGGGATTTATTTTTAGATACTTTCCAGGCTGATGATCCAGGTCCAGAAACTACCAAATAATACTATAAATTCTTTTAACTTTGTCTTAAGCCTCAAGCACATGATAGCAGAAAGCAAGCAGATTTTGGAAACATTGACAGTTCTCAAAACCTGGCTTTGTGGTTGTGCAGTGTTCAGAAAAGCATTTAAATGTTTCTCACTGCTGAAAGGGACTATACTCGCCTGTTAGTGATTTACATACCACAGTTAGAACAGGTCCAATGCAAAGTGGTACCCAATAAACAGAAGCTATTTTACTAATGACTTCCATGTAGTCCATTGAATTCAACCCACGACCTCTTACCCAATACAATATCTACCTAAGAAACAAGATAATATAAGTCTTCTCTTCCTGCTTCAACTATTCAGATCTTTATAAACTGTTATATTATCTGGGAGATCTTTCCACCCTGCAGAGACTAACCCAACAACTTACCTCCTGTTTTCCATTAACCCAACTGCTGGTTTTTTAGTGGAAAAAAAAAGCTTCTGGTTGACAAAACTACTCTACAGAATGCTTCAAATCTATAAACTTAAAAAGCTGGTTTGTGACAGACCAGGCAGCTGACTCAGGCCCGAATTTAATGCGATCAATGCAACTTTTGTCTTATTAAATAGGGGAGATTAAAAATTTTAAATATGGTTTACAAAGGAAATTCATCTATACTTACACCACCTACCCACAGTTACAGTAAAATATACAATACAGTTAGAAAGACTGAGCTGAAAAAAATCTTTCTAAATCACCCTTCATTCAAAATCATCAAGGGCTCACAATTACCTAGAAGAGATAGTCATATAATTTTAAGACTGCAAGGAAATGCAGAGATTATTTTTTCCAGGCCTTCGCCAACTTAATCTCTCTTTCCAAGTTCAACTCCTATGTATGGTCACATAACATCTTTCACATGAAATATTTCTCTCACTTTTCCCTCCTCCTCTTTTCTTATCTTGGTGCACTCTACAGCCTGCTTCCCTTCACCACTTCCACCCAACACCTATCCAAATCCTCCTCCCATTCAGCCTGAAGACAGCTCCTGGGAGCTTTTCCTAACTACTACCCTCTTCTGAACTGTAGACCCACTATGCATGCTTTTCATGTGGCTCTAAATAATAATATATCACCTCATTCTATCATATACCTTTCCATATGAATATCACCATACAATCACAAAGAACTCCAGTCTCCAACGTATGTATATATACACACAATTTTGTGTTTGATCCTTTTTGTTTTTTGAGACAGGGTCTCATTCTCATCGCCCAGGCTGGAGTGCAGTGGTTTGATCATAGATCCGTGCAACCTTCAACTTCCAGGCTCAAGCGATCCTCCCACTTTAGCCCCTCGAGGACCTGCGACTAAAGGCACATGCCACCATGCTCAGCCAACATTCTTTTTAATAGATGGATAAACATGTCCTAGGTTAAAAGGACTACTATGGCTAGTCACCCACATGTTTTGATTTCCAACCTAGTTCTCTTTCTACATATTTCAAGACAGATATAAATACTTAAACTCTCTGGTTCTCAAAGGGCATGTGAAGCACCCCAGCAATGCACAGGAATACTGTGGAACACTTTACATTTTTGAGGAAGACACATCAACCCATCGTTGAATCTGCCAGACACTGGGTGCACTGCCAGCTTGAGGTGGTTCGTAGTTTCAACATTAGATTGTGTTACACTCCTCGTGATGGATTGTGTTATACTCCTCGCGATGGCATATTTTTGTGAAGCTGGGTTTGCAGTAGTTGCTGTGGTAAAAAGCAAGTACTGCACAAAAATCAATGACAGGAAATGAGGGTGGTGGTGTCCAACCAATGACAACATTTGAAAAGCTATGCAGCAACAGGTCTACATAACCCAACAGTAACAAATTATAGTTATATAAGAACAAATTTAACTTTTTTCTTTTAATTTATGTGAATAACTTTTTAAATGGCTACCAAGTTGCTAAGATATAAATACTTAGCGGGCAGGCGCAGTGGCTCACGCCTGTAATCCCAGCACTTTGGGAGGCCGAGGCGGGCGGATCACCTGAGGTCAGGAGTTTGAGACCAGCCTGACCAATATGGTGAAACCCCGTCTCTATTAAAATTACAAAAATTAGCCGGGCATTGCTGGCGTGCATCTGTAGTCCCAGCTACTTGGGAGGCTAAGGCAGGAGAATCGCTTGAACCCAGGAGGCGGAGGTTGCAGTGAGCCGAGATCGCGCCACTGCACTCCAGCCTGGGCGACAGAGCGAGACTCCTTCTCAAAACAAAAACAAAAACAATAAAAAAAACAAAACTTACTTAGCTATTTGGACCTTGCTACTTAATACAGAGAACTATGAGGTATTTCTTGACTTAGGAGTACCGTGAAAAATTAAAGACAGTATAAGTGTTATAAATTGAGAAAGTTTGGAAACTTCTACTTTTCAGTGTCAAATATGAAAAAGTTCCTGTGGTAAGGAACTATATGCTAAGTTCCCAATATATGACAGTGCACAGCATAGTTATAACTAAATTAAAAGTTGTATATTGGTCTCCCAGAGGCCAAATCTGGCCTGTGCATTGTTTTTTTAAAATCTTGAGCCAACACTTAAAAGTCAGGAAAATTCATATACAAATATAAATTTCTGGCTTTTATTTGCAAAACAGAGTATCAAGCAACAATGGACTTGCATTACTGCAGGGCAATCATCAGCTTCAGCTGAGAAGCAGCTAACTCCTTTTGAAGAGGCATGTGTTTCCCAGTTTGTTTCAGTCCCTACCACTCACATCACCTAAGCAAGGGCAATTACACCCGACTAGCTGCACTAATATCATCTGTCTGTCCCCCTCGAGTCCTGTGACTCCTCATCTTTACAAAGTAGAGGCAATGATTTATTTATTGAAAACAAAAGCCTCATTATATAATGAAAAGTAAAGGAAATAAGTATTAGGCAATAACTGGGAGAGAAGAGACTGTACCTTTGCTCCCTTACTCTGCCACAACCTAGCTATATGAGTCAACTCAAATCACTTCTCTTGCTTCAGTTTCCCGATCTGTCAAATAAGCAGAACTTGTTCTATTGAGTTCATAGGATACAATAAAATTTTATTTATTTGCTTTGGCACCAAAAACCTTTTAAATGCTGTTTTAAAAAAGTCTTCAAAACTACTTTTAAAAATCTATATTCCAAATACCTCTGAAATTATCTCTTGTACTCACCTTGAGAATTTTAACAACAACTTTTTCATTATTTGTGATGTTGATGGCTTCAAATACTTCACTGTATTTACCTCGGCCTAATTTTCGAACCAGCTGGTAGTCATCTTGATTTCTGTGGACACAAACAAAATGACTTATAAACGGTCAAATTATCAGCATCAATTCAAATTACAGGAATCTATTACCAGCAGCTGTAATAGAAATAAGAAGTATTTCAAACAATTCCCAAATAGGTTTTTTTTTTTTTTTTTTTTTTTTTGGAGATGGAGTCTCACTCTGTCGCCCAGGCTAGAGTGCAGTGGCGCGATCTCTGCTGACTGCCAGCTCCACCTCCCGGGTTCACACCATTCTCCTGCCTCAGCCTCCCGAGCAGCTGGGACCACAGGCGCCTGCCACCATGCCCGGCTAATTTTTTGAATTTTTAGTAGAGACGGCGGGTCCTCACCGTGTTAACCAGGATGGTCTCGATCTCCTGACCTCGTGATTCGTCCGCCTCGGCCTCCCAAAGTGCTGGGATTACAGGCGTGAGCCACCGCGCCTGGCCCATTGTATTTTTTTTTTTTTTAAATTAGGCCAATTAAAATACGTGTGTTTCAAATCCTAGAATTAGAAAAACTTATACCTTTCAATTATTCTTTCTAATCCCAAACTGTTTACATCTTTATTGGCACATGACATGGAGCTGGCTTGTATTAAGGTTTGTTCTAAATACGTTTGTCTCCAACAAGAGACAGCTTTCCCCAAGAGAATAATTTTTTTTTTTTTTTTTTTTTTTGAGACGGAGTCTTGCTCTGTCGCCCAGGCTGGAGTGCAGTGGCGTGATCTCGGCTCGCTGCAAGCCCCGCCTCCCAGGTTCACGCCATTCTCCTGCCTCAGCCTCCCCTAGTAGCTGGGACTACAGGCGCCCACCACCACGCCCGGCTAATTTTTTTGTATTTTTAGTAAAGACGGGGTTTCACCGTGTTAGCCAGGATGGTCTCGATCTCCTGACCTTGTGATCCGCCCGCCTTGGCCTCCCAAAGTGCTGGGATTACAGGCGTGAGCCACCGCACCCGGCCGGAGAATAATTTTTATATATTCTTGTCCCTTAGTGCTTGGTCCAGTGTTGGCACTTAGCAGGAACTAAAAACATTTTGCAAGACTGTTTCAATCTAGCCACACTTTGGCAGCAGCTGATTTTTAACAGGCCTCTTTGAAGGTAAATGGCTTTCAAATGTATAGGCTTAATCTATTTGCCCTCCAGGGCAAGCTCTGGGGATAGTCCATGCGTAGTACGAAGCACATTATAGATTGTAAACTATAATCAGCGATCCCCTCCTCTACATATACCCATATTCTGTGACCAATAAGCAACATCAGAGGTAATAAACAGAGGTAGAATAAGGGAAATGCCAACATTTTCCTCCTGCCCCTGCCTGCTTCCAATGTAGAGCGCTTTGCTCTGAAGAATGACAAACACAGTTCCAATAAGGCCTAAATTCTATCCTACTGGATAGAATCCTCTGGACCTACTAAGTATCCAATATGAACCAAATCAACCACCTCAACCATTCATTTTCCTCAAGTAGCTAAAAAGAAAGTGAATGAAAAGACAAAAGGTACTAAAAACAATGGACAACATAATAATCATGGCAGGTGTAGGGGAAGAATGCTCCTACTTCTGGTTGAGTTCTCTTCCTATGGGAGGGCATACAAAACAAATGCCAGCAAGCAAACAGAACCATGCCAAAAGCCCAAAAGGGCTCTTTAGTGCCATTTAAGCAGAACCAAGTGCAAAGCACTCAATTTGAAGATAGCGGCTGAAATTCCTATAGTAAACACAGTGTCACCTAGAGTCCAAAGCCTGTGACATAAGAGGAGAATTGTTAGATTATCAGTAATAACAACATTTATTGGTACTAAACCACACTGGCATTTAATGGTGTCTTTACAGCATACAGTGCCTCTGTATTCAGAGGCAATGTATTTACTGTTAAGAATCATGGCATACTCAAATTAGCTGGGTAGGGTGGAAGGTGCCTGTAATCCCAGCTACTCGAGAGGCTGAGGTGGGAGAATCACGTGAACCCAGGAGGCGGAGGCTGCAGTGAGCCGAGATCACACCACTGCACTGCAGCCAGGGCAACAGAGCAAGACTCATTTCCACACACACACATACACAAATTCATGGCATACTCAAGATTAAAAATACGCCCTATGACAATTTAGGGAAGCCATCCACTAACCACTTACAGGTTACAGAAATCACATGCAGTCAGATATAAAATACAGCATACAGGAGCTGTAGCTTTAGTTTTCAAATTGCTTTCTTTTGCACTTGAATGTCAAAATGCTTTTATCACAAAAGTATGATCTGAACAATTAAATGTCTACCACATTGGGACAGGAAATGCAAACATCCAAATGAGTCTGCACAGAGAATTAGGAGGGCAAACACAGCTGTTCAGGCAGACTACAACTGTTCAAGATAGAATTTGGGCTGAATTCCATGCTAAGACATGCCTAGTCTCAGGATAAGGGCAAATGTTTAAGAATTTAATTGTTTCTCATCAGAAAGAAGTTACCTCTTTGGAGAACTGTTTCGTCCTCCTGTATTAACACGAAACAACATTCTCTACCTCAAAAATACTTTATATAAGACTTTGGTGTTTTCAAAGTCTCTCAAGTATCACTTCTCACTGATCTGCAATGCCCTTGGCTTGATAAGCAAGCTGATAGGTAACTTTTTGTTGCCAGGTGCCCATACAGAATACCGTCATGCGTTATTTAATGACATTCTGAGAAATGTGTTAAACATCAGAGTGTTTACACAAACCTACATGGTATGGCATATTACATACCTAGGGTATGGCCTACGGCTCCTAGGATACAAATGTGTACCGTAATAAATACTTTAGGCAATTGTAACACAATGGTATTTGTGTATCTAAACGTAGAAAAGGTAATGAATGCACTGTTGATGTTACGATGACATCACTAGGCCACAGACATTTTTCAGCTCTCTTATAATCTTATGGAACCACTGTCCTACATGTGGTCTGTCATTAATTCAAACTTTGTTATGTGGTGCACGACTGCATATACATCATAGAAAAGGATAAGAAACTAAAATGATTTTTAAATGGTAAGCCCATTAAAATTGTTCACTTGCCAAAGCAACTCTGCTTCCTCACTGCAAAACCAAATTTTCAGCTCAAAAGAAAACACAAATTGGGCTTTGATCCTGAGGTATACACATACAGAGTCACGGAGGTTTTCTGACAAAAACTACTCAACAGATCCACAAGATTCAGCCCTTTGAGTGAGTATAATGAAGTCAACAAAAACAATTACCCCCATTCCACCACATGTGACTCGTAATCCCAGTATTCTCGAGGTCTGTGTGTATTAACATCTGTGTAAACTCTGGCCCTGCTTGGCACGGGTCCCGACATGTCAGACAGGTTGGCGGACAAAGCTGGACTTGATGTTTGGAGATCTGGCAGTCACTGTGTTCAGAAGCAGCTGGGGGTAAGACCTTGTTTCAGACCTGTTTTCTTCAAACTGCAGAAACAAAATGCACAAAGTCCAAGGAATCATTTACAGAAGGTATATGGGAAGGAAATAATCTTACAAATAATAATGGCCTGAAATATACCTCTGGCTCTCCTACCTACAGCCAATAAATATAGCTCAACTGTGTTAACCAGTGCTTCCTATAACATGAGAAGAAAAATCCCAAGAAATACAGTAAACTGATATTTGCTTTAATCATATTTTGCCAAATATCCTGTTACCTCTGCAGGCAAAATTTGAATGATTTTTGTAAGACAGCCTGGAAGAGAAAAATGGCATTGAGGATAGATACATCAGCATTACCACTAGTTATATATTCTACAAAAGGTATTGGCAAGAAAAATACTTTCTTTTCAGCAGCTTTCTGTAACTTAAGTAGGGGTGCTAAAAGGTTCTAGAATGGCGGCAAAGCTAAGAGTACAACTTGCCATTCTGACTCATATTTGATGAAACCAGGAAGAGAATAAAGGCTTGTTCTCATACATCAAAGCTCCATGTCATCTTATACCAATCCAAATCTTTTGGGGGAACCTTAAGGTAATAATCAGTAGAACCTTGATCACCATTTGAAAGACACACTTGGTTTCATTAAATTTAAAAACAGAAATCAGTAATATTCTCTTTATATTTAATACAGGAGCTTAAAAACTGGTATAAAACAGTAATACAGATTAGCTGAGCTAATGCAAAATTTGACACCGGGGGAAAATAAGTAAGATGTTAGAAATATGCTATCAAATCAGGTTCCTTTCCAATGATGTCTTCCCTATCTCCTACAGCATGTGCTGATTCCCCTCATTATGCATTTAGATGAAATTGTATTGAGTCTCCAGATTGTGATAACGTGAGAAGGATATAACACGTATGCAAGTCTCCTGGCTGAGACAGCATAACTTCAATTTGTATGTGTGTATGTGTTTTAAGACAGGGTCTTATTCCACTGCCCAGACTGGAATGCAGTGGTGTGATCATGGCTCACTGAAGCCTCAACTTCCTGGACTCCGGTGATTCTTTCACCTCAGCCTCCCAGGTAGCTGAGACTACAGGCACGCACCACCACCCTCAGCTAATTTTCTGTATTTTCAGTAGAGACGGTGTTTCACCATGTTGCCCAGGCTGGTCTTGAACTCCCAGGCTCAAGCAATCCTCCCACCTCAGCCTCCCAAAGTGCTGAGATCACAGATGTGAGCCACCGCACCCAGCCATAACTTCAATTCAATTACCAGGAAACATTCAGAAAAAGAGGAAGTGTCTATTTAAAAAGGGGGAAGGGGTACTATACTTCTAAAACATGTCCACAGCATAAAAGACAAATGGAGGCTAAAGAGACATTGCATAAATGCAATACTCTAGACTGTATCCCATACTGCAGGAGGTGGAGGGGGATGCTATAAAAAACAATATCGACAGAACTGGAATTCAGAGGGTATTAAATTATTGTATCAATGTAAATTTGTGAAGTTGGTACATAATCACAATAGTTAAGAGAATATACCTATTCTTTTTTTTTTTTTTTTGAGATGGAGTTTCGCTCTTGTTGCTCAGGCTGGAGTGCAATGGCGTGATCTTGGCTCACCACAACCTCTGCCGCCTCCCAGGTTCATGTGATTCTCCTGCCTCAGCCTCCCGAGTAGCTGGGATTACAGGCATGCGCCACCATGCCTGGCTAATTTTGTATTTTTAGTAGAGATAGGGTTTCTCTATGTTGGTCAGGCTGGTCTCAAACTCCCGACCTCAGGTGATCCGCCCTCCTCGGCCTCCCAAAGTGCTAGGATTACAGGCGTGAGCCACCTCGCCCAGCCCAAGAATATGTCTATTGTTAAGAAATTTTCCTGAAGTAATTAGAAGTAAACAGCCATGATGCATATAATCTACCCTAAAATGATTCAGGAAAAAAATGTGCCCACACGTTTACATGTGTATATATATAGCACACATGACTGCACACTCACAAATGATAAAACAAGCTGGGTAAAATATTACAATAGGTAAACGTGCGTAAAGGGAATAGAGATGCCCTTTGTACTATTTTTATTTACTTTTTGTTGAAATCTTCTTATTTGAAACAAGGTCTCCCTCTGTAGGCCAGGCTAGAGTACAGTGGTCTGATCACAGCTCACTGCAGCCTTGACCTCCCAGGCTCAATCAATCCTCCCACCTCTGCCTCCCAAGTAGTTGGGACCACAGGCGTGGGCTACCACAGCTGGCTAATTAAATAAATTTTTTTTTTGTAAAGATGGGGTTTCCCTATGTTGCCCAGGCTGGTCTCAAACTCCTGGGTTCAAGTGATGCTCCCACCACAGCCTCCCAAAGTACTGTGATTATAGGAGTGATCCACCATACCCAGCTTGTTGAAACACTTTTTTAAATTGTGGTAAAATATACATAACATAAACTTTATGGCCAGGCACAGTGGCTCACTTTGGGAGGCTTAAGAGGGTGGATCGCTTGAACCCAGGAGTTCGCAACCAGTCTGGGCAACATGGTAAAACCCCATCTCTACTGAAAATACAAAAAATTAGCCAGGTGTGATGGTGTCTGCCTGCAGTCCCAGCTACTTGGGAGGCTGAGGCAGGAGAATCACCAGAGACCAGGAAGTCGAGGCTACAGTGAGCTGTGATTGCACCACTGCACTCCAGCCTGGGTGACAGGAGAGAGACCTCATCTAAAAAAAATAAAAACTGCCATTTTATCCACATTTAAACCTAAAGCTCAGTTGCATTAAGTATATTCACATTCTTGTGCAGTAATCACCAGATCATCCATTTCTACAAATTTTTACCATCCCAAATGAAAACTATGTATCCACTAAACACTAATTTTCCCTCCCCCAACTCTTTGCAACCACTATTCTATTTTCTGCCTGAGCTGGCTATTCTAGGAACCTCATATAAGTGGAATCAGACAATATTTGTCCTTTGTTTTGTTTATTTAATTTAGCATAATGTCTTCAAGGCTGATCCATGTTGTAGCATGTGTTAGAATTCCAATCCTTTTAAAGGCTGAATGATATTGCACTGTGTATATATATACACACACACACACACACACACACACACCACATTTTGCTTATCCATTTATCTGCTGATGGACACTTGAGTTGCTTCCACAGCTTGGCTATTGTAAATAATGCTGCTATGAACATAGGTGTACAAACATCTGTTTGAGACCTCGCTTTCAAATCTTTTATGTATATATCCAGAAGTGGAACTGCTGAACCATGTAGTAATTCTATGTTAATTTTTTGAAGAACCAGCATATTGTTTCAACAAGCTGGGCACGGTGGCTCACTCCTATACAGCAACTGTATCATTTTACACTCCCAGGAACAGTGCAAAGGCTACAACTTCTCTACATCCTTACTAACACTTGTTATTTTCTGTTTTTTGCTTGTTTTTATAGAGACAGGGGTCTTGCTTATGCCCAGGCTGGTCTTGAGCTCCTGGCCTCAAGGGATCCTCCCACCTCGGCCTCCCAAAGTGCTCTCAAAATAGACTGTGCCTGGCCTATTTTTTGGTTTTCTTTTCTTCTTCTTCTTTTTTTTTTTTCAGTAACAGCCCTCCTAATGAGTATGAAGTTGTATCTCATTGACTGTGATTTTAATTTGCATTTCCCTAATGATTAATGATGTTGAGCATCTTTTTACATGCTTATTGGCCATTTGTATATTTGTTTTGGAGAATGTCTATTCAAAGCTGTTGTCCATTTTTTGATTGGGTTGTTTTGTTTGTTGACGATGCATTTGTTAACTATACTGTTTTTTTGTTGCTTACAAGCTGCTCATCTTTCCAAGGTAAGCTGTAACTTAGCTACCACACCCAAAGAGAAGCCAGAAGAGATACCTCCTTATGCCCATGGTGTCGGCAGCTAAAGGCTTTCAGAAGAATAGCAAGACTGGGATGGAGATTAATTCTCTATTCCTTAACCGTGACAAACACAATTAATGACATTCCACTCCAAATATATGAGATCAAAAGATTCACATGCTGACTTATGAATTCTCCCACCCAAAAAACTGCTGTAACTTGCCTCTGTTCAACTCAAACCTTCTGAGGTTCCATAAATGTACTAAATGACCAGAAAACAACAAAGTAATTCAAGTACCAAAAGTCTTTAAAATTATTTCTATTTCTTTGATTTTGTAAAACCTGGGTGACATTAATCTATCTTCACTTAATATCAGTTAAAACTGTAAACGCACACACACACAAACACATCAAACATGCAAAAACCAGATGTTTTCTTGTAATTTTTCTTCTTCCCAAAGAAATAAGGTCATCTATGTTGTAGGATTGGTGACTCTGTGACTACTATGCCTGCCTTGACAGCAATGAAAGACACTAGGAAAACCGTAGAGAAAGGTGTAGGTGTGAATATGGCCAAAATAGTAGAAACAGCAGCATGAACCCAACAGAAATGCTGTCCCCAGAAATTTATTACTTTTAATATACTAAACTTTTAAATTCTCAGCCTCTCCTCTGACAGGAAACAGTATCTTTCTCTACATAACCTTTACAGCCACTTTACTCTTCTGGTTAACATTTTATACGTGTAAGACAGCCTTCGTCTGTGGATCTCAAAGCCCTTTTCCTATGCTTAAAAGTGATCTCTCTGTTGGGCTTTTCCCAGCTTTGGTTCATCACTTATAAAACCTGTCTAACTGTGCTTGCAGACTGAAGGGAAGATGAAGTGAGATGATCTTCCAGAAAGGGCTTAGAAACATGAAATGCATGTAAATTTGTATTAAGTAATTACTATCCCCTAGCTCCTTAGTGAAAGCTAATAAGCAGAAACCTATCTTTACAGGCTGGAACCTTCATTCTTTAAAATACAAAAATTATAGTAGCCGTGGTTAATTCCCGGCCACTGAGGGCTAACTCCCAAGTATACATGACATTACAAAATGAGTCCTCATTTCTCCCTGGAAACCATCTGACATATGGAGAATAGCCAACTCCTATTACTAGTCATGTACATTCTCATCACCCAGTCTTCTTCTGCTGTTTCAAGGCCCTGGCATCCTCTGTGAGGAGTGGGAAAAGACTAATAACTAATGAAACTCTTGAGATTCTCCAGTACTTGTCTGAATGACCCTTGAAGCTTTGGGGCTCATCAACTGGGACCTAATTTATGAACTAGCAGATCTGATTCTCCACTGGGAAGACAACAAGCTAACTATTTTTGCAGTACCCCCAAAGAGGTGCTTCACCTTACTGTCACGCATACCAAATAATCTGCTTATAGTAAGAAAGGTATTCACATGAATTTCAAATGGCTGGCCTTCATTAATTATACGGGAAAATAAAACAGAGGATTCTTCAACTGTGACTCTGTAATCTCAGATAGATAAAAGGGTACTAAGAGATTGGGGGTTAAGGGATGGTGATAAAAAGGGGATGTGAAGCCCAGTGTGGTGGCTCATACCTATAATCCCAGCACTCTGGCAGGATCACTTGAGCCCAGGAGTTTGAGACCACCCTGGGCAACACAGCGAGACCTCCTCTCTACAAATAACATAAAAATGAGCTGGGTGTAGTGGAGTACAACTGTGGTCCCAGGTACTTGGTAGGCTGAGATGGAAGGATCACTTGAGCCTGGGAGGTCAAGGTTGCAGTGAGCCATGATCTCACCACTGCACTCCAACCTGGGTGACAGAGCAAGACCCTGTCTCAAAAACAAACAAACAAACAAACAAAAAACAAAAACAAGAGGGGATGTGAAAAGACAGAAAAGGGAGGTCAAAGACCAAATATTATCATTATTATTTTTTTGAGACAGGAGACAGGGTCTTGCGCTGTCACCCAGGCTGGAGTGCAGTGGTGCAATCTCGCTCGGCTCACTGAAACCTCCACCTCATCTCCTGGGCTTGAGCAATCCTCCCACCTCAGCCTCCTGAGTAGTTGGGACTATAGCTATGCGCCATCAGGCCCAGCTAATATTTGTATTTTTTGTAGAGACAAGGTTTTGTCATGATGCCCAGGCTGGTCTCAAACTCCTGGACTCAAGTGATCCACCAGCCTCAGCCTCCCGAAGTGCTGAGATTACAGGTGTGAGCCACCATGCCCAACCAAGATAAACATTATCTTATTTAGAAATAGTATTTCACTTATACCTCTGCAAATGCATATGTATATCACATGTAAGCTAACAGGAAGAAAACACACAGCCTACATTTCTCAATTTTTGGTTTGATTCTTCCCTACATTCCTGATTTTGTCCATCCCTTAAATAGATAACCATCTACTATGAAAAAGTACTATCCTAGGCCTTAGGAATATAAGTGAGCAAGGCAGAACAGGGGTGAGACAAGTATGCCATTGAAGATTTTACCTATGGACTAAGGGTAACAGAAATTCATTGAAAAGTTTTAAGCAGAAAAGTGACCCATACATATTGTTTTTAAAATTTTTACTCTGGCTGAGTGTGGGACAGGACTTAGGGAGAAGGCTGTTAACAGTAGCACACGTGAGAGAAATGATGACCTAAGGTGGTGGCATGTGGAGATCAGTGGACTAATATGAGGAACAAAATTTATGGTGTAAAATCAATAGCTCTGAGTGAACTGGAAAATGCTGTATGAAGTGGGAGGTGACTCTTGGATTTCTTGCTTGACAGACTGTTGGTGCCATTCATGGAGATAAGAGTGCACAAGATAGGTTTTGGACTTAAGGTTAAAATGGCTTTGAATCATTCAAACGAAGATTCTGAATAGGCAGTTAGATATTACAAGTCTGGAACTAAGAGTTTCTCAGCTTTAAGTATCTAACTCTTCCAACAACTCTACGAGGCAAGCATTAGTTTCTCTAATCTACAAATAAGAACAGCCTAAGTTCAGTAGCTTGACCAAGAATATCCAATACAGTTACAGCTGGGATTCAAAGACAGTGAGTTGGCCTCCAAGGTTCAAGTCTTCTCACTCCTACAGAACACAATCACTTTCTACTGCACATTCACACACACACACACCAGTCTTCAAATCTTAATTTCTCAATTGGACCCTAAGTTCTACAAAGTTAAGAACCATGTTTAATTTACCTTTTTAATTTATAGTACCTAGCCTAAGGCTTGCATTTTGTAGCACGTTCAGTAAACACTATTTGGTGATCAAATTAATCTTGGTTTATTTTTTAAAAATGAAATGAAAATGAAGTTGCATCCAAAGTATAGGGTGTTCCTAAATACTTCAGGTCATCTGGTACGCAACTAGGAGAACTGGAAAACCAAGTCAAAGGTTCTTGAGTAATTGTTCCCTTCCCTCTCTCTCTTTCCCAATACTACAGCTTCTATTAAATCACAGGACTACAACTAGGATTTGTCTTTTTCCCCTCGATAATTCAAATTAAGAGAATACTGAAGAAACTTGATTTTACCAATTTTTATAGCAGCTTATTTGGAAGATGGAAAAAGTGCCTGAGTCCTAGATATTTGGAAGATCAATTCTCCTCTCCACTGTTCATAATACTAGTATATCTTAAGGCAATCTAACAAAATGCACTGCCTTTCTTATTAAGTTCCATTTTAAATTGTCTTACTTAGTGCTTACTGTTCTCATGTAATTGCATAAAAGGAGGTGTAACTTTAGTGGCTAACCATTTCAGACCACTACATCTACCTTAACACCGTCAGAATGACTTTGAAGACATGGCTAGGTCTTGTATGCTCAACGTTTAGCCTAACAGAAGCCAATTAATCAGCTACGAAAAAAGTATCATGTCAATGAATTTTTCCCGACTGAAGTAAGATCACATCGAAGCCAACTGCATGGGTCTGCATGACCTATTCTTTAATAAAGTATAAGTAAATAAAAAGAAAATGCCATTAAACCATAAGGAAAAATTGTCCATTGCCAAAATCATAAGTTTACTGATATACACTGAATACAGCAGAATTAATTTCAATAAAAACTCCTCTTGCCCTTAGCTAGTCCCTCCTTCTAATCTCTTATGTTCAGTTGTTATTTTTCAATTTGGCAACTAAAAAGAAAACTAGAGGCTTAGTAACAGTCCAATACCAGAAAACTATACAAACAAGTTTGCTTAGTCATTTCTGCTAATGTATTTTTATTGATGAATTTCCTAGTATCAGAAATGGAAAAGATCATTCTAGAACTTTAAGTCAATTTTTGAACTGTAATATAATTAGTTCTTTTTAACCCTAATGTTTATTAGTCTCCATCTTAAAAGGAAAAAAAAAATCTCCTTCTCATCCCTAAATGAACCATAGCAAATGAACAAGATCTCATCATCATCCCGACAGGACAAAGATTTCTATAGCAAAGAATGAGGAATGTGCTTAGATTGCACTGACTGCATGGTTTAGGACTGCTTGTTTAGAGGAAAAGCAGCTATACAGGAAGACACCTTTTATGCACTGCTGCAGAGAATGAACTCTTTTTCCAAGCAATCAGGCAACATAAACTGGTAAGAGACAAACAAGACTTGTGGAACTCAGCGAGACCTTAAATATGTATACTTTTCTACCTTGCTACAGAAGCAAAGAGAAAAATTCAGTCAAACTTGCCCATTTCCCTTTACAAAAGGGGCACTGATTAGAAGGCCAACTTAATACAAAAAAGCACAAGTAGCTAATGTTACCTGAATTACTTATTTCAAATGTCCATACTTAACCTTAATTTCTTTCTTCCTTTCCAATCAAGAGCAGAATGCTCATACATCAAGCATTTACTGAACGTTTACTATGTACCAGGAAATGTGTGCCTGACTGCCAGAAAGGCATTCTTTCTCTTGGTCCTGGAGAAAGTATCTCTGCCCTCAGACAAAGAAAACAGACCATTACAATCTCAAGTGATCAGTGCTTGAAACAATTAAGTCATGGTGGTGTACAGACGTTGAAGGGTATTTAAACTATCACCAACCCATCATTCATTCAACAAATATTTATGGAGTACCTAAAATGGGGAAAAACTGTAAGAGAAAAAAAAAACTGCACTTAAAGTACGCACAGGAATTATTCAGATGGAAAACATTAAAACAAGAAATTGCAAAGCGTAACACTTTAAAGCAAGTTAAGAATTTTAAAGACCTATAATTTTGCACCCTAAAATGACCAAAGGCTGGCACATTTTGTTATCTTCTATAAGAAACACATCATTGGATGCCACATGCAACGTGGCATCAGGTGTAAAAAAGCACCTGATGTGCTTTTTTTGCACATCAGGTCAGCAACCTTTTTATATCTGATTTGGAGACTATTAGTTTACTCGACTGTTACCATTTTGTGCTTAAAACAAACAGTATCATTAATTCACAAGCTTTGGAATTCTTTCTCTTTATTTTCTTTTCTCTACTTCCAACACTAATCAGTTCCTTGTTGCCCAAGCTGGAGTGCAGTGGCACAATCGTAGCTCACTGCCACTTCAAATTCCTGGGCTCAAGTAATCCTCCCACCTCAGCCTCCCAAGTAACTGAGGCTACAGGCATGTGTCACCACACCTGGCCCACTCATCTTTAAATAAGACAGAGAAGTAATTATAGCCAAAAGGGAATAGAAAATGCAAACCCAGAGATATAAGCAAGCAAGGAAGCCTGGAAAGCCTTTGTTGATCCTGAAAATTAGAATTTTGTTCTCACATAAACCAAAGCCCAGGGCTCTCACAAGACAAAAAGTCTAATAGGAGGCCCTCTTCATAAGGTGGGACTTCAGAGGCATACTTCCTAATGGTGAGAGTGACTAGGGAGTGGAAGATCCAGGGAGGAATTAAAGCCCTACTGAAGGGAATATCATATCTTAAGCTTGTTTTAAGGTGGTCTCTGGATTAGTGCCCATGCATACCTGATATAAGCAAGCTCTCCATGGAGGAAAGTACCTTACTGTGGGCCTCAAATGATCACTACAAATATCTATTTTTATTTTTATTATTTTTTATTTTTTTGAGACAGAGTCTCGCTCTGTCACCCAGGCTGGAGTACAGTGGCCTGATCTCAGCTCACTGCAAGCTCTGCTTCCTGGGTTCACGCCATTCTCCTGCCTCAGCCTCCCGAGTAGCTGGGACTACAGGAGTCCGCCACCACGCCCGGCTAATTTTTTTTTTTTTTTTTTTTTTAAGTAAAGACGGGGTTTCACCGTGTTAGCCAGGACGGTCTCGATCTCCTGACCTCGTGATCCACCCGCCTTGGCCTCCCAAAGTGCTGGGATTACAGGTGTGAGCCACCGCACCCAGCCAATTATTTATTTTTAAATACAATGTCCTAGCAGATCTCAAAAAACAAGAGGAAAAATATAGTGAAATCGTTGGATATACTTTTTTTTTTTTTTTTTTTTGCCACAAAGTCTTGTTCTGCCACCCAGGTTAGAGTGCAGTGGCACGATCTCAGTTCATTGCAACCTCTGCCTCCCAGGTTCAAGTGATTCTCCTGCCTCAGCCTCCAGAGTAGCTGGGACTACAGGTGCATGCCACCATGCCCGGCTAATTTTTGTATTTTTAGTAGTGAGGGGGTTTTGCCATGTTTTGGCCAGGCTGGTCTTGAACTTCTGACCTCAAGTGACCCGCCCATCTTGGCCTCCCAAAGTGCTGTGATTATAGGCGTAAGCCACCGTGCCCAGCCAGTTTGATATACTTTTAATTGGTACTAGCAGAAAAGAGAATGGGATAAAGGCAGTAACTGAAGACAGTTGAAAATATCCCAGAAGCAATCAGACACAATCAAATTCCAGAAGCAAACAATTTCCAAACAAGATCAATAAAAAGAAATCCAAAACCAAACATATAATTACAAAATAGCAGGAAAAAACAAAGATGAGTTGGGTGTAATGGCACAGGCCTATAGTCCCAGCTATTTGGGAGGCTGATACAGGAAGATTGCTTGTGCCCAGGAGTTGGAGGCCAGCCTGGGCAAAACAGCAAGACCTTGTCTCAAACAAAAACAAAAAACTAAAGACAAGCAAGTACAGAAAAAGGCAGATTATATTCAAAGAGCAACATTAGAACAGCTGATTTTTCAAAACCAACAATGAAGCCAAGTAGTTTAATACCTGCAGTGTGCTGAAAAAAATAAATAGCCGCCAAATTAAAATTCTGTTATCAAGCAAATGTCTCTAAAGAAAAAAGAAAAATAATCCCATTTTGGAAGGTCTGAGTTGAAAGAAAAAATAAAGAGCAAAAAAGAGGAAAATTTACAGACAGCTCCAAACAAACACTGATTATACAAAAGAATAACAATACCTTGAGGAGCTTTAAAACATAGAATACATAACAATAAAAACACAGTGTATTGAGGAGATTTCAAAGTATTCTTTCTAAAGGTCTTTTATTATATGAAAAGAAGATAAAATTATAATATCAGGTTTTGCTAAGTTATAGCTGCAAGTCACAAGATGTATGACAACTAATTACAGAATAAAAATAGCATATATTTCCAAACCAGAAAGAGGGAAAAGTAAAATCATAAAAAGAATCCAAAAGAATGTTAAGAAGGGAGAAGAAAAAAATCTAGAACATAAGAAGCATAGGGGAAGAAAGTTGAATTGGAATATGATTAATTATATTAAATATAAGTGGAATAAATTATCCAGGTAAAAGACAAAGACTATCATATCAGACTGGATTAAAAAAGAAATCCAAATGAACCAGAATAATCCAAACAATTCTGAAAAATAATAAAGCTGGAAGAATTATACTAACTGATCTTAAACTTATTACAAAGCTATAGTTGTCAAAACAGTGTATTGGCAAAAGGATAATACATAGATCAAGGGAACAGAATAAAGAGTACAGAAATACACTCACACAAACAAGGCCAATTAATTTTTGACAAAGGTACAAAGGCAGTTCAATGGAGAAAGGACATATATACATATATATATAAATATATTATGTATTTTTTTCGAGATAGGGTCTGCCTCTGGTGCCCACGCTGGAGTGCAGGGGCATGATCTCAACTCACTGCAACCTCCGCCTCCTGGGTTCAAGTGATTCTCCTGCCTCAGCCTCCAAAGTAGCTAGGACCACAGGAGTGTGTCACTATGCCCTGCTAATTTTTGTATTTTTAGTAGAGACAGGGTTTCACCATATTGCCTAGGCTGGTCTCAAATTTCTGAGCTCAACTGATCCACCTGCCTTGGCCTCCCAAAGTGCTGGGATTACAGGCATAATAATCTTTTCTATAAATTGTTTTGGAAGACTTGGAGATCAATATGCAAAATCATAAACTTTAATCTAAATCTCACACTTTATATAAAGATAATTCAT